>NC_000010.11:52718852-52870368 GCF_000001405.40 Homo sapiens | reverse complement strand
CATTATTACAGAATAAAAGCCAAACTTTTTAGCATAGTATGTAAGACCTATTGTAAACTGACCTCATTTTTTCCATCAACTCCTATTTATCCTCCAAGCATCAAATCATCCCTACATACCTACATTCATCATCTTTCTTTATATTTCTGCCAAGCCCCCATTTCCACCACTGGTGACTCCTATTTATCTTTTGAGACTCAACCAATGTCACCTCTTATGTAGATTTACATTACTTGCATAAACAAAGTTTTCCCCATGCTAGAATATTCATGTTATGCATTCTTCTCTTAGCATCCATAATATTATATGGTAAGTATTCCTCTGCATGCCTATCTCCCTTTCTAGAACAGAGTTTTTCCAGCTGGGGGTTGTATCTATTAGTGGGTGGCGAAATCAACTTAGAGGGGTCAAAACCAGTCTTTACCATAGTAAAAGGGAGTAGAAAAATCACGCAGTTAAAAATGAATGATGATTCATGGAACTATTATTTCACTGTGCATACATGTTTGTGTGTTATTATGGGTTGGACTGTGTTTCCCCCAAAATATATATTAAATCCCATATTAGTCCATTCTCACACTGCTATGAAGAAATATCCAAGACTGGGTAATTTATAAAGGGAAGAGGTTTAGTTGACTCACAGTTCTGCATTGCTGGGGAGGCTTCAGGAAACTTACAATCATGGCAGAAGGCAAAGAAGAGGAGGAACTTTCTTCACGGCGCAGCAGAACGAAGTCAGTACAAGCAAGGGAAACGTCAGACACTTATAAAACCATCAGATCTTGTGAGACTCACTTACTATCACGAGAACAGCATGGTGGAACTGGCCCCATTATCTGATTACCTCCACTTGGTCCTGCTCTTGACATGTGGGGATTATGGGGATTACAATTCAAGGTGAGATTTTGGGTGAGGACACTGCCAAACCATATCATTCCACCCATCACCCCTCCCAAATCTCGTGTACTCACATTTTAAAACACAACCATCCTTTTCAACAGTCCTCCAAAGTCTTAGCTCATTCCAGAATTAACCTGAAAGTCCACGTCCAAAATTTCATCTGAGACAAGGCAAGTCTTTCTGCCTATGAGCCTGTAAAATCGAAAACAAGATAGTTACTTCACATATAGAATGGGGGTACAGGCATTGGGTAAATACACCTGTTCCAAATGGGAGAAACTGGCCAAAATAAAGAAGCTACAGGACCCATGCAAGTCCTAAATCCAATAGGGCAGTCATTAAACATTAAAGTTCCATAATGATGTCCTTTGACTCTTCATGTCTCACATCCAGGTCTTGCTGATGCAAGAGGTGGGTCCCCACAGTATTGGGCAGCTCTGCCCCTGTGGCTTTTCAGGGTACAGCCCCACTCCTGACTGCTTTCACAGGCTGGTATTGAGTGCCTGCATCTTTTCCAGGTGCATGTTGCAAGCTGTCAGATCCACCATTCTGGGGTCTGGAGGATGGTGTCCCTCTTCTCATAGCTCCACTAGGAAGTGCCACAATGGGGACTCTGTGTGGGGCTCCAACCCCACATTTCCCTTCTACATTGCCGTAGCAGACATCCTCCATGAGGGCTCCATCCCTGCAGCAAACTTCTGCCTGGAAATCCGGGCACTTCCATATATCTTCTGAAATCTGAGTGGAGGTTCTCAAACCTGAATTTCTGACTTCTGTGTACCTGCAGGCCCAGTACCACATGCAAACCACCAAGGCTTGGGGCTTACACCCTCTGAAGCAATGGCCCAAGCTGTCCATTGGCCTCTTTTAGCCACAGCTGGAATGCAGGGCACCAAGTCCTGAGGCTACACAGAGCAGCAGTGGGGGTCTTGGGCCCAGCCCACAAAACCATTTTTCCCTCTTAAGCCTCCAGGCCGGTGATGGGAGGGGCTGCTCTGAAGGTCTCTAACATGCCCTGGAGACATTTTCCCCATTGTCTTGGTGATTAATATTCGGCTCCTTGTTACTTATGCAAATTTCTGCAGCTGGCTTGAATTTCTCCCCAGAAAATGGGTTTTTCTTTTCTATCACATCGTCAGGCTGCAAATTTTCCAAACTTTTATGCTCTGCTTCCTCTTGAAGCCAGATACCCTAAATCAACTCTCTCAAGTTCAAAGTTCCACAGATCTCTAGGGCAAGGGCAAAATGCTGCCAGTCTCTTTGCTAAAGCATAGCAAGAGTGACTTTTACTCCAGTATCCAACAAGTTCCTCATCTCCATCTGACACACCTCAACCTGGAATTAATTGTCCACATTACTATCAGCATTTTGGTCAAAGCCATTAAGTCTCCAGGAAGTTCCACACTTTCCCACATATTTCTATCTTCTTCTGATCCCTCCAAACTGTTCCCAACCTCTACCTGTTAATAAGTTCCAAAGTCACTTCCACATTTTCAGGTATCTTTACAGCAGTGCCCCACTACCTTGGTACCAATTACTGTATTAATTCATTCTCATACTGCTATGAAGGAATAACTAATACTGGGTAATCTATAAAGGAAAGAGCTTTAATTGACTCACAGTTCTGTAGAGCTTGGGAGGCCTCAGGAAACTTACAATCATGGCAGAAGGCAAAGGAGAAGCAGGAACCTTGTTCACAGGGTGGCAGGAAGGAGTGAGTGCAAGCAGGGGAAATGGCAGACACTTATACAACCATCAGATCTCGTGATACTCACTATCACAAGAACAGCAAGGAGGAAAGCGCCCCTATGATTCCATTACCTCCATCTGGTCCCACCCTTGACACATGGGGATTATGGGGATTACAGTTCAAGATTAGATTTTGGGTGGGGACAGAGCCCAACCACATCAAATCCTTTACTCAGAATGTGCTCTTATTTGAAAATAGGATCATGACTGATGTGACTAGTGAAGTTAAAATGTGGTTATACTGGAGTAAGGTAGGCCTTTAATTTAATATGCCTGGTGCCCTTATAAAAAGAGACAAGGCACAGACACAGAAAGACACAGGAGGGGAGAATGCCATGTGATGACCAAGGCAGAGACTGAAATGCTATAGATGGAAGCCAAAGAATGACAAGGATAGGCAGCAAACCACCAGAAGCTGGGAAGATCCAAGGAAGGACTCTTCCCTAAAGGTTTCAGAAGGAGCATGGCATTGCCTACCAACACCTTGACTTTGAACTTCAAGCCTCCCAAACTGTGAGGCAGCAAATTTGTTTTAAGCCATCCCATTTGTGGAACTTTGTGATGGCAACCCTAGGAAACTAATACATGTGTGCAGGTGTGTACTGAATTGCAAGGTAAAATGTGTTCCTTACGATGGGCCCAGTCAAAGTTTGAAAACATTTTTTTACATTATGTACAATTCAAAGTCAGTGATAACATCTTATTTGTTCTTGTGTCTCTATAACCTGTTCCGTGTTTGCCACACAAGAGCTTAATATATGTTTGAGATCAAAAAGTGGGAAGTGAGAGGTGGGAAAAAAAGAAAAGCGTGGGAGGGAGAGAAGAAGAAAATCAGGAGATGCAAAGGGCAAGGGGACAAGGGAAGGGGAGAAGAAGAGAGGGAAGAGAGAAGAAAGGTTGGTTTTGTGCTGGCTTTAGAATGGAAAACTGCCCAAGTTTCAGATCACTGTGGGGCTGAAATAATAAGAATAAAAGCCTTATTTAAAAGAGACGCTAATGACAAAAATACTTTAGTGACTTCCTACCTCCTTTTTTTTTTTTTTTTTTTTGGGATGGAGTCTCGCTCTGTTGCCCAGGCTGGAGTGCAGCGGTGCGATCTCTGCTCTGCCTCCCGGGTTCATGCCATTCCCCTGCCTCAGCCTTCCAAGTAGCTGGGACTACAGGCACCCGCCACCACGCCTGGCTAATTTTTTCTATTTTTAGTAGAGACGGGGTTTCACTGTGTTAGCCAGGGTGGTCTTGATCTCCTGACCTCATGATCCGCCCACCTCGGCCTCCCAAAGTGCTGGGATTACAGATGTGAGCCACCGTGCCTGGCCCCACCTCTTTTTCAACATTAGAAACATTACAGTTGAGAATAAGCATAGGTTTTTATGAAAATAACAGAAACAGTTACAAATTATGTCCCATACAGAAATGATTCACTTCCATCCTGCAACCAATTCCAGAAAATGTTTATAAAATGAAGTAGTACTATCTCAAAGTACTCTGAAGTAGCTTCCTCATATTGGGACAGGCCTTAGAGCACACACATTTTCTGCTCTCCTGGCACACAGAAGTCAGCGTTCACACTTCGCGTCTCCACTACGGTGTTTCTCTCCTGTGTGGTCTGGGTAGAAGGTACCAGGAACACAATGCCCCAGCAATGTTGCTTCTCCTGGGGAGATAACAGATTTCCAGCCTGAAATGGAACGATGGTACAATGGTACAAATGGTACAACGAATGGGGAATTGCATTAGTGTTCTAGTTACTTGGAGATGAAGTTTTGTGTATTTTACTTGAAATATGTTATTTCTTCTCTATCATGTTTGCCTTTATTATAATTCTATTAAATAACAATTATTCATTGATTCAGAAAGTACATAGGTAGAAACAGTAATTTTTTTTTTTTTTCTGGAAAGCAATTGTGTGTTTACAAAACAGTGGGTGCCTTTTACGGTGCAGAGGGGTGGGTAAGAGCAGGATGGCTAGGAAGCTACAGCACCTATGCTGTTACAAATGCAGCACTTTCAGGTGGCTGGAGGAATAGATACCACTTTCCACTTAAGACACGTATTTTCTCAGTGGGAAACCAGGTAATAAGACAGCATATACTGAGCTTTAGAACAGAATCCTTCTCATTCCTGCAACCACCCCATAGTTGAAATCACAGTTCTGGAGCCCGACTGTTGCGTCCAAATCCCAGCTCTACTCTTTAGTCAGGAGGCCTTGTGCAAGTGATCCCTTGAGATCTGTCTCCCTGTGGCAGAACAAGGACAGCCACACCACAAGGCAGTCGCTGGGCCGGGACCCCTGTCCGAGGTGGCGCTGGGCTTGAGCTCCATCTCCCTGGCTCATGCGTGTCTGCATCACTGCCAGTGGTGACTGCGTGCTGCTTGGGAGACAGCGCTCAAGCTGTCTCAAAATACCATGGTGAGAAGTGGACATTCACAGGCAGAAGCAGGGCCAAGGCACCAGTCTGGTCCCTGTGAGACTTTGGATGCACTGTGAACTTTGAGAAGGGCAGTGGCACAGAGCTAGGCCTTTCTGCTCTCCTGGCACACAGAAGTCAGCGTTCACACTTTTCTTCTCCACCACGGTGTTTCTCTCCTGTGTGGTCTGGGTAGAAGATACCAGGAACACAATGCCCCAGCAATGTTGCTTCTCCTGTGGAGATAGCAGATTTCCAGCCTGGCTGTTGCCAGCGGGGCTCCTGCCCTTGCCTCGTTGATCAGCAGATACTTGCTCCTCAAGGGGAAGGGGCAGTTGGTCCTTCTGAGCCATGCTTCCGACCCATGTGGAGGGCTGATCTCCTGCCCGGCTCTCACCACAGCCCTGGGCCTGCTTTTCCTCTGGCCCTGCACAGAAGGGCTTGATCCACTGGCCTTACAGACACACCACCACATAAGGCTAGAGTCAGAATGAAAAGCCAAGTCTTTCAACAGCAAAAATGGAACTAAGATATCAAAGGTCGCCCATGCTGCTGACTTGCTCTTGCAGCAGGTCTGACCTTGGGAGGCGATGCCGTGTGACTTCCTTTCAGTCCACCACAGCTGCAGCCCGGCCCCTGAGGAGGAGCATGTTGTTGCAGGCCTTGTCTAGCTATTCAGGAATGTGAGCACAACCGCATGTGGTGCTTTGCCCCTGGGATCCACGCTAGTTGTGATTCCTGAAGTGAGTAAGCCCTAAGTCACTTAGCAAAGAAACAGTAAGCATTTAAAGATATTAACAAGCTGCCTGCATAATTCTTAGGTTTAAATGGCCAAGGGTGCATTGGAGAGCTCCTTCTGTAAACAACTCCAGCTTCTCACATTTTGGTAGCTACAGAATCACAGCTTCTGAGCCATTGAATTCACTTCCAGATAGCACTAGGGTGCCAGTGCATAAAAATGGAAGAAGAAGAAAATGAATAAAAATGAAATGTTTCACCAGATTGCAGCAAGTGAAAATAAGGCTAACTCCAAGCTTCATAGGATCTTAACCATCTCTTTTCCTTAGGCTGCTGAAATGAGAGCTGTGCATGAGCTTACAAACTATTGACATTACTCTCTAGCATGAACTTACAAATGCACATTAGCTGCTGCAATGACACTGTTTTTAAAATAAAAGTCAGGATAGACTGGTAAAGGATTTTTTCCCTTGATTTCTGAGTTTACTCATAGGAAAAGTGTTATATAGGCAAAAAAAAATCACATTTAACTCTGTACATTTAATGAATTTATTATGAAAATAGTGGCTATCTGGACAACCAGGATATGTGATGTCTATCGCCATACAGTGCCCTGTGGTGACTTCTCAGTCACCATTGAAGTAACCACTGGCCAACAGAAGATGAGAAATGTCATTACTACAGGCATGTACTTCTGTATGCCTTCAGTTGCAAGGCAAACCCAACTCAAAGAAATTGAGTTTCAAAGATTTCATAAACCTTGAAATTATAATGCTGAAAGTTATACAATACTGTAACTATTCACAATGAGGAAGATAGGTAATGTTTAAGGGAAAAGACAACTTACTGCTTATTTACTACTTTGTGTTTTAAAGTTGTTTCTCATGTCTATTAGTCCAAATAAGCCAGTCTCCTGGGCAACTAAACTTCAAAATTCCCAATGTCCTAGTAAACTGGGAAGATAATGTGATGCAGTATCCTGTGTTAGGTTCTTATTAAGGGTTGGACTAGAAGAGCGTTCAGTGCTTTGATATTGCTGGTAAAAGGCTCAGATATATTATTAAATCGTCTTTAGATGGAAAGACCAATGGTGAAACTATCAAGAGCCAACAAGAAAGCTTTGAAGTGACTGCTTTTTTTCTAGAGTTTCATTCAGCTTCAAAGAATGTCAAAAATCAGAAAGTGTGAAATTTATAAGAATTAAACTGATGATTAGCCCCAGAAGAATATCCCTCCAGTTAAAATGTCCTTCCAACCAAAAGGTTTTGCTGTCTTAGATTTTTCACTGTAACTGCCCCATCTGTTACCTACCTAATAAATGCTGATATAGTTTTCATTCATGTGATTCAGAAAATAAATATGAAAGTAAAATTTCTCCTAGTTTTTAGGAAAGAGCCAACAAACTAATAGAAAACTATTGCCTCTATCATTCAGACATTTCATTAGCTCTTTTTAGAAAGAAACTGGAGAATTACGAAAAAAAATTTGAACATGTGTAGTCACATGAATATTCTAAACAAGGTTTGGAATCTTGAAAAGAGCCAAGATACTCACCAAGTGATCTAGTACTGAAGTATGGTTCTTAGAACCTAAGCTAAAACAAGGCATTCTACCAGAGGCATGAGAAGAAGGAAAAGCTAGATGAACAGAACCTTCAGCGAAGAAGACTGAGAGCCAATACGAGGCCAAATGGTATCTATGGGAGACAAATATTATAACCAAGTGCCAGGCAGAAGAGAAAAATATTATAAGACTAGAGTTAGCAGAAAAGTAAGTGTCCTAGGAAACTGTTTTTAATGACATTGAAAGGTCTTGAATATAAATGAGTCAAGGTGCCTTTAAGTTGTGATTAGAACAAGTGATACTTTGCTCTTAAAAAATCACATAGATTTTTGACAAAGATCTGACAAAGGTCTAATATCCAGAATCTACAAGGAACTTAAACAAATTTACAAGAAAAAAACAACCTCATCAAAAAGTGGGCAAAGGATATGAAGAGATACTTCTCAAAAGAAGACATTTATGTGGCCAACAAACATAGGAAAAAAAGCTCATCATCACTGGTCATTAGAGAAATGCAAATCAAAACCACAATGAGATAACATCTCACGCCAGTTAGAATGGCAATCATTGAAAAGTCAGGAAACAACAGATGCTGGAGAGGATGTGGAGAAATAGGAACATTTTTATACTGTTGGTTGGAATGTAAATTAATTCAACCATTGTGGAAGACAGTGTGGTGATTCCTCAAGGATCTAGAACCAAAAATATCATTTGACCCAGCAATCCCCTTACGGGGTATATACCCAAAGGATTATAAATCATTCTACTATAAAGACACATGCACATGTATGTTTATTGCAGCACTATTTACAATAGCAAAGACTTGGAACCAACACAAATGCCTATCAATGATAGACTGGATAAAGAAAATGTGGCACATATACAACATGGAATACCATGCATCCATAAAAAAGGATGAGTTCATGTCCTTCGCAGGGACATGGATGAAGCTGGAAACCATAATTTCAGCAAACTAATACAAGAACAGAAAACCAAACACAGCATGTTCTCACTCATAAGTGGGAGTTGAACAATGAGAACACATGGACACAGGGAGGGGAACATCACACACCGGGGCCTGTCAGGGGGTGGGGGGCAATGGGAGGAATAGCATTAGGACAAATCCCCAATGCATGTGGGGCTTGCAACCTAGATGATGGGTTGATAGGTGCAGTAAACCACCATGGCACATGCATAACTGTGTAACAAACCTGCACGTTCTGCACATGTATCCCAGAACCTAAAGTATAATCTTAAAAAAAGAAAAGAAATCAGTGAATAATTTTGTTCCTCAATTTTTATAGGATTACAAAGTTTAAAAGAAAAAATATCTTCTGACTGAAAGAAAAATGTTTTTAATGATCTTTGGATGCAAAGCACAAAAAAATCACAAAAGGAGGAGAAGATCTACTTCATCAGAGAGCCATCTCCAGGTTCCATATAGAGGCCCAGCAATAAGCATTCAAATAAAGCCACATGTAAATGATGTACTTGACATCTGACAATCATTTGGGACTTTTCTTTCTTTCCAACAAAACAAACAGTAAGAATTCATTTTTCTGACTCAGTGGGAGAGAAATTTTTGGAAGAAAATGATGACCAAAAACCTAGTGGCAGCATTCTATATAGAAGAACAGCAGGCTAGCTATGTCATAGCTGATGTGTCACTGACCATGCCATCACAGTGATTTTAATAAAACCAGTTTTTTCTTTTCAGAGAACCCAGAGCACAAAGGACTATTCATATCAGTTTGAAAGAACCAGCAAAAAGAAAAGGACTGAAGATGTTAAATGTATTTTGACCTTAAAAGTCTTTTGCATTGCTTCAACAGAACAGATTTCTCAGTGGCTGAGTTTATATGCTTGCACTAGGAGGATTTTTGTGTGACTGAAGAGAGACTTTAAATTATGATATTAAATATGACAGGAGAAGCCTACTCAGATAGAATGAACTGTTCTTAACAGAAGTTTTTGTGAAGGAATGGTTTGTACTAAGTCTAAATACCAACATTTTAACCAAAATAGACAGAATGACTCCATTCAGTATGGATGTCTATTCATAACTATACCTGGATAGATAATTTTTAACCCTGAATTTTATGAAGTTTATTTTAACTCAGAATACTTTGGGAAGAGCTGAATCTAATGTGACATCAGAATTGTGTGTAATTAAACATAAATGTATATAATTGCAGGGAAATAATGAGTAGATGAGGATTAGATGGGTAATGCCACGTAGTGAGGAGATTAAGATAAATGAATTCAAACAGAGGTTCATTGAGTAACACACATTAGCATGAGCTTGAGCAAAGCAGTTTGCCTTCCCAATTTTCTCATCTATAGAATGGACATAACAGAACCTACCTCATACTCTTATTGGAAAAGCTAAGTAAAATAAATCAATTAGCATAGAACTAACTCACACTAAGCACTTAATACTGTAAAATGATGATAATGTGTGGTAATGAATATGACAATGACATCAACCTTGAGCTCCTTTTCAATGAAGATTATCAGTGTAGATCTTCTCCAATCTGGTCTGAATATTTGCTCTTTCCTATCTCACTCTAATTATCATTGTGTTCTATCGTTTCTTTTTTTTAGTGCTATTTGATATGTGGAGAATATTTGTTTGTTCAGTCCCTACTACTCTGTCTGTACACTACAGATACGTGAAGCCCTCTTTCACTTTAGTTCCTACAGTGATTTTTATCCCCCTACTATGCCTTTAAAAGTAAAACACCTACTTACTTGCTAGTACTGGAATGACATATTTTCTCTTGTTTGAAATTGCAGCCCTTTTCTGCCTATGTTTTCTGGTATGAGAGCACCCACTTTCTTTTTGGAATCCAACTGATAATGAATTACCCAATTATGTGAAAACATGATTTTTTCTGTGTTACACTTACCTCTAACAGCTAAATTACATCATGGCTATTATTCTGGATTAGCCAGCATTAGGCTCAGCATTAGGCTCAAATACTCTGCCCTATCATTGTTTGTTGAGCTACATTAAATTAGATCAGAAGATAGCATCTTACAGTGGTATATCAGGAAACCTTTGGATAGTCTTTCTTCAGCCCAATAATATCTTGGCCATTAATTGTGTGAAGAGGCTTCCTTCATCTAGGAATTCATGAACTTGATTTAATATTAGTAGGAGATCATGGTGCCACAAAGTTCAGGTATTCAATTTTCACAAGCCAATTTACATAAATTAAAATAATGGAAGGAAACAGAAACACAGGAGTCACTTCAGTCTATTCAGCTCTATTTGACATCATAAGGATTTTGCCTGCTTGCCACACTGGAATATTTTTATTTGTAAATATAACAAAAATGTTTCCACTTGATGCCATTATTTTCAACTAGATTGACTTCTCAAGAGGAGGTCATCTGGACATTGGGGAGTCATCTATGGCCATGCTCACAGGGGTGGACTATGAAGACCCGCAGACTATCTGTTCTTCCTAATTCAGGTGCATAGTCTCCCCTGCTCTGATGCTTAAAATATTTCAGTGAAAAGGACTTCAACAGCCAAAAGCTGAAAAAGCAATGAAGGTTATGGCGGATTATTAATTAATGTTATTGTTAAGTACAGAATAAAACAGATGGCTTTCAAACCTTTTGAATTATTCCTGTCTCAGAGTTTTGCACACTTTAATAACTACCTGCTTTTAAAATAATACTCTTAATACATTTAGGATCTGCCAAGGAATACAAAGATTTTCTCTGGTCTTCAGTCCTAATTCTCTAAAACATAAATAAAAAAGCAATGGGCTATAAGTCAGGAGATTTAATTTCTTGGTGCTAAAATTAGGGATACATAATGGATTTCATAAAACCATATAAATTAAAATTGTTAAATGGGGGAAGACAGATGAATATGACATAAATGAGTAAACTTTGCCACCAGAAAATCTGCACTGATTCTCTTCAACTCCACTCTTTCTCAGGTCTTTGGAGAAAAGGAAATCAACAGCAAGCAAATGGACAATGCTACCATAATTTGAGGTTCTTGTTCTGTACATGACTTAAGCCACAGGACATAGTCTGAACAAGCACAATGAGCACCTATAATTAGCTCTTAGGCCCAATGTGGCAGAAGTAGCCTGGAGCATTAAGCTGGAAGGACGATTAACTGGAAGGACAATTGTTTTCACCATGTTCCTCTCTTTCCAGGTAACTGAGGGAAGCCCAGCGACAGTACCTCATTCCATAGATTTACTGAGTACAAGATAACTTCTTATCTGAGCTAATACATAGATACAACCTGCTTACAGAAAATAAGCTCTTGAGAAGCTGAGAAAGCAAATACTGGCAAAGTATGGGTGTCCAGGAAGTGGAGGGAGTTGGACAATAAAGTAGAAGAAAAAAAAAATAAACTTCACAATTCTTAGTTACAGCCATAGCCCCATTTAAACATTTCAGATATTATGTTTTCTCCACTGTCTTTATTTCCCAGTTTTCTTTTTTCTTGATTAGGCTACACTGTTTTATTGGCTCTTTTATAAAACCAATGATCAATTTTAGTTTTCTATTTTTCAAGTAATTAATTTTCATGTTTATTGCTATTATTTCCTGATTTTTCTTGTAGTTATATGGAGAGCAGCTTTCATGAACACTAAAGAGGTGGCTCCAGGCCTATTATTAGACATGTTAATCAGGGATACTTAGATATGTACAGCTTTCTTTACCGATCAAGACATGACTGAGTTATCCCGATACTTTTAAACATTCCTCCAAGCAGAAGCACTTATACTGGTTGTACAAGCACTTCCAGGATGGATATGAAGACCTGAGGATATAAAGAAGGTAACTCAGCAAAAATTTAGCTGTTTTTCTCAACCCTTTAAAGGTGTTGACTGCATAAAAAGTATCACCAGTGTAAAAACCTTGTACAAAAAGTAGGGACAAGAAAAAAATGCATCAAAAAGTGCTGCTTTTCTTCTTGATCTATGTGCCCACCTCAAGTATGTTGCATTAGGTATAATTGACTACTCACACCAAATAAGTTAAACTGTATGCTTAAATGTGTGGTTGCTTACCGTCAACCCATTGCCCAGCTGAAATCTGTTATTCTTCTTTTTCCAACCTTCCGTTAGAATGTTTATTTTTTCCTCATTATTTATTATTTATCTTTATTTATTATTGTTAATGTTTAAAACTGAGTTTTCCTCTGAGTACAACTTTATCTCAAAAATGTTGCTATGTACTGTTTCACTATTTTTATTTCTAAATATTTTATAATTTCATTTTTTCAATGTGTAATTTTGAAAATTTTAAAATGATGATATTTTACTTGTTTTTATTCTCAACTTATAGTTTTATTACAATATTATCAGGAAAGACAGTATTATGGGGTTTCAATGTTAACATTTAGGAGACTATTTCTTGAGTGTTTGCAAAGAAAGCAAATTCCCTGTTATTGGGATATATGTCTGTTAATTTCACTTTATGAAGTATTTATCTATTAATTTCCCCATACTCCCTGAGATGAGAACTTAAGAAAAAAATCTGAATTCAGATGTGTCTAAATAGTCATAAAGAGTACAAGAATACAAGAGTACAAGTCATAAAGAGAACAAGTTCTATTTGATGAACTCTATTGCCTTTACTTCTCTCATTTTGTTCTGTGTCCCCAAGAGTTATCCTGTTCTGGGGGAGAATAAAGTATCGTTCAAGGAAGAGTTGTATTTTTTAGAATAGCTGTGTTGAGAAACAGAAAAGGAAACGGGTTACTGACAAAGAGATACCTTGGTAGCAGGGACGTCCTAAATGAGGTTGGAAGCCATTAATTTATCAGAACAGAAATCAACACAATTATGCAATTTTTACAAGCAGGTTTCATCACACTTAGTTTAGCAGTGGTGCTGGATTGATTTAAGATTGAGCTTTTATGGGAGTGGCATGCTGAAAGGGAACTGGGGCTTAAAAACTTACATACAGTGTCTACTCTGAATAGAAATAAAGGGACTGGGTAATAAAATTTCACAAAATTCGTAGATAAGATTTGTAATACAAATAATAATTGATACAATTAGTGAATTTTTTGCCATCAGGAGTGAGGAAAAGGAAAGAGTTCAGCTTGACTTCAAAAGTCTACATGACTCATGAGAATTCAGAGGGAGTGTGTTGGAGGAGATGATAATAAGTTTCAGATATGATGAGTTAGAGATTTATACTTTCTTCCACTAGACTGCAGTTCCATAGATAGGGTCTTTGTTTGTCTTGTTCTCCATGATTTCTCCATCATTATCCACAATGCCTGGAACATAATACATGCTCAATAAATAATTGTTGACAGAAAAAAATAAAGGGATGATATATGGGAAAATAGCAGAAAATTGAATGGTCAATAAGTACAAATATCTCAATATGTTTTGGTAGTCCCCCACAATGGAATACCTTGTAGCCAGTAATAGATCCAGGCATACCTCAGAAACACTATGGGTTCAATTCTAAACTATCACCATAAACTGAGTCACATTAATGTTTTTTGTTTCCCAGTATATATAAAAGTTATTTTTACACTATACTGTAATCTATTAAGTATGCAGTAGCATTGTATCTTAAAAAACAATGTATATACATAATTTTCAAATATTTTATTGCTAGAAAGTGCTAACAATTATGTGAACCTTCAGCAAATCATGATTTTTCTGCTGGTGGAGGGTCTTTTCTTGTTGAGGTTGGAGGCTATGAATTTGTCAGAACAGAAATCAACACAATTATGCAATTTTCACAAGCAGGATTCATCACACTTAGTTTAGTAATGGTGCTGGATTTATTTAAGATTGAGCTTTTATGAGACTGGCATGTTGAAAGGGAACTGAGACTTGATGTTGACAACTGCTGATTAATCAGGATGGTGGTTGCTGAAGGTTGGGGCAGCTGTGGCAATTTCTTTAAATAAAACACATAAAGTACAGCACATCCATTGACTCTTCCTTTTATGAAAGATTTCTTTGTAGCATGTGATGTGATGCTGTGGTTTTTATATTTATTTGTTTTGGTTTTTTTTTTTTTTTTTTTTTCGAGACAGGGTCTGGCTCTGTTACCCAGGCTAGAGTGCAGTGGCACAATGCAACCTCTGCCTCCTGGGCTCAAGCCATCCTCCCAACTCAACCTCCCAAGTAGCTGGGACTACAGGAGCACACCACCACACCTGGCTAATTTTTGTATTTTTTGTAGAGACAGGGTTTCTCTATGTTGCCCAGCTGGTCTCAAACTGCTGAGCTCAAGTTACCTAGCTGCCTTGGCCTCCCAAAGTGCTGGGATTACAGAAGTGAGCCACTGCACCTGGACATGTGATGCTGTTTGTTAGCATTTTACCCACAGTAGAACTTCTTTCAAAATTGGAGTCTATCCTCTGAAACCTGACAACTTTTATCAACTAAGTTTATGTAATATTCTAAATCCTTTGTTGTCATTTCAACAATATTTGCAGCCTCCTGCAAGACTTCAGTGCAGATATGGTAAAACTTGCATAGATTTGCTTTCCAGAAATTACTTTCTTTGTTCTTCTGCAAGAAGTAACTCTTCATTCATGCAAGTTTTGTTGTGAGACTGCAGCAAATCAGTCACATTTTCAGGTTGCACTTCTAATTGCGGTTCTCTTGCTATTTTCACCATATCTGCACTGAAGTCTTCACCCCTCAAAGTTATCCATTAAGGTTGGAATTAACATCCTCCAAACTCTGGTTATTGTTGATATTTTGACCTCCTTCAGTGCACCACAAATGCTCTTAAATGGTGTCTAGAAAGGTAAATCCTTTCCAGAAGGTTTTCAATTAACTTTGCCCAAATCAGTCACAATCTATGGTAACTATAGCCTTAAAAAATGTATTTCTTAAATAATAAGACTTGAAAGAAAGTTTGGCAGGACTCAGTGGCTCATGCCTGTAATCCCAGCACTTTGGGAAGCCCGGGCAGGTGGATCACTTAAGGCCAGGAGTTCCAGATCAGCCTGGCCATCATGGTGAATCCCCATCTCTACTAAAAATACAAAAATTAGGTCGGCATGGTGGCATATGCCTGTAATCCCAACTACTTGGGTGGCTGAGGCAGGAGAGTTGCTTGAATCCGGGAGGCAGAGGTTGCAGTGAGCCAATATCGCACCACTGCACTGCACTCCAGCCTGGGCGGCAGAGCGAGACTCTGTCTAAAAAATAAAAAAAGGCTTGAAACTTTGATTTGTGGGCTACAGAATGGATGCTGTGTTAGCAGGCATGAAAACACATTAATCTCCTTTTACATCTCTATCAGAATTCTTGGGTGATGAGGTGCATTGTCAGTGAGTACAATAGTTTGAAAGAAATCTTTTTTCCAAGCAGTAGATCTCAATAGTGAGCTTAAAATACACAGTAACCATGCTGCAAACAGATGTGGTATCATCTAGGCTTTGATGTTGTCTTAATACAGCACAGGCAAAGTTGATTTAGCATAATTTTCAAGGGCTTTAAGATTTTTCTAATGGTAAATGAGCATTGGCTTCAACTAAAGTCACCAGCTGCATTAGCCCCTAAAAAGAGAGTCAGGGTGTCCTTGAAGATTTGAAGCCAGGTATTGACTTCTTTCTAGTTGTGAAAAGTCCTAGACAGCATTTTCTTCCAAGAGAAGGCTGTCTCTTCTACACTGAAAATACATTGTTTAGTGTAGCAACCTTCATCAATTACATTAGCTAGATCTTCTGAATATCAGCATTTGCTGCCACTTTTTTGTTATGGGGATGGCTTCTTAAAAACCAATCTATGCTAGCTTCAAACTTTTCTTCTGCAGCTTCCTTACTTTTTTAGTCTTCATAGAATTGAAGAGAGTTAGGGCCTTGTTCTGGATTGGGCTTTGGCTTAAGAGAATGTTGTGGCTACTTTGATCTTCTATGATGACTACTCAAACTTTTTCCATATATCCAATAAGGCAGTTTCACTTTCTTATAATTCTATCATTTATGTCTTCACAGGAGTAGCACTTAATTTCCTTCAAGAACTCTCCCTTTGAATTCACAACTGGCTAACCATTTGGCTTAAGAAGCCTAGCTTTTGGCCTATCTTGGTTTTCAACGTGCCTTCCTCACTAAGCTTAATCATTTCTAGCTTTCGATTTCAAATGAGGAGGGTATGACTCTTCCTTTTATTTGAACACTTAGAGGTCACTGTAGGTTAATAATTGGTCTAATTTTGATATTTTTGTGCCTCGGGGAACAGGGAGCCTGAAGAGAGGGAGAGAAACTGAGAAATAGCCAGTCAGTGGAAAAGGCAGAGCACATATTGATTAAGTTCGCCATCTTAACATGGACACAATTTGTGGCATCCCAAAACAATTAAAATAATAACATCAAAGATCACTAATCACAGGTCACCATATCAGATATAGTAATGAAAAAGTTTGAAATATTACAAGGATTACCAAGATGTGACACAGAAACACAAAGTGAGCACATGCTGTTAAATAGAAAAATGATGTCAAGATTTGCTGGATGCAAGATTGCCACAAACCTTCAATTTGTAAAAAACACAGTATCTGCAAAGAGTGATAAAGCATTATTCTACTGTATAGTAGAATGATATTTGATGATATAAAAACATTTATGCTATAAGAAGTAGAAAAAAGTTATAAAACTGTGTCTATTTAAGTACAATAAAATTTGTTTTGTAAATAACAATTTACTAAATAGATATCTACATATAACATTGCTTACATTAGGGTGGTGTCATAATAAATAATTTTTTATTTTCTTGTCCTTGATCATTTCTATTTCTAAATTATGTTTAACAGTTTTCTTGTTTGCTTCTCTTTTGATTAAAGATGAACAGAAGCCAAATTAGGATCAAACAGAAACACCTCTGTTCTAGTTATAACTTGATGATGTTCTAAGCAGCAAGCAAAATATTTATTTCATTATTGTTGTCCCCAAGAATTGAATAAATTTACTTTCTAAAGTCAAGCCCCTTGCTTAGGGGGGGAAAATTAAGGAATGTGAGGTTTTTCATTTCTGTTGTTGCTTTGTTTGGTCAAATTTTGTTTTATTTGGGCAACAAAAGTTGGTCTTTTGTGTGTGTGTTTTTTCTTTTGCAAATTTGTTAGTTACAATAATAATAACCATCTGTGCCACAGATAGGCTCTTATTTTTACTTCTTCATTTTCCTCAGCAGCAGTCTTTGTGATAAATCTTTGTTGCAAAGGATTTTAAAAAGCAATAATTTTTTTTCCTTCTCCTATATCCAACTCACCAATTTTTCTTCCCATTCTTCAGGAACTTATTATTTAGACGATTTTATCATCTCTAAGTAATATCGTTTTTTTTTAAGCCAGACAAATTTAGCAGTGAAAGGGCTGTATACCAACTTTAGTGACACTAATGTTAGTAAGTTCTGATAACCCATTACCAATGAACCAGCCTCTAGGTGATATCCTTTTATGTACTTTTTTGTCATTGTTTGTGGGGACTAAAAATTATAGGAGATAAAAATGAGGTTGTCAAATTCCAAAATATAGAATTATAGAATAATTCAATTTATAGGGACCTTAAGACTATGTCAACTATGCACCTATTTTATGAATGAGGATAAGAGATTGATAATAAATTGCTAATTAGTGCCTACCTTGCTAGATAGTGCCTGCATTGCCAGTCAGTGCCTATCTTGCTATTTAGTGCCTTTTCACTTTTTGTTGCTGTGACTACCACCTTCAGGAAGAGGAAGTTACTCATTATAAAATATACATGCTAAATGTCAAGATCTCTAAGTTTTGATAATGTCAAAACTTAATATTATTGCTAAACTCATTTTTTATTCTTCTAAGTAATGTTTTCTAATATTATCAAATAATTTTCAGCAGCTCTTGTCATTAAGTGGTTTTTCTACCTCCAGCTGTTGCAGAGTCAAATGATTGTCACAGAGGTGAAATCATTTCGTGAAGACTCAGCATGCCTTCCCTTAAAATGCACTTAGAAGCGGGGCCAATATGGCTGACTAGAAGCAGTGGCATTCTGAGGCTTCCATCGAAAAAAATTATAAGTGGGTGAATCCATCACCAGCAACTGAGGTATCCAGGTTCTCTCATCAAAATTGACTAGAAGGCTGGCATGACCCTCAGAGAGAAGGAAGAACAGTGTGGTGCAGTGGCCCACCTGAGAGCCACATAAGGCAGGGGAACCCCCCTTCCCCCAAGCCAAGGGAGGTGGCAAGTGAGCATGCTACCCAGCTGAGGGAACTGTGCTTTTTCTGCAGAACTGTGCAACCCATGGACTGGAAGATCCCACTTGCAAACCCATGCCACCGGGGCCTAGTGTCCCAGACCCAGAATGCACAAATGCTTAGTGCCTCTTGGCTGGAATGTGCTTAAGCCTACCAAACTCCTGAGGTGAGGGGTGACCAGCACTGGCTGTGGCTGCCTACTGTCTAAGCCCTTTGAGCTCCTTGTGAGAGGAGCAGCAGCCAACACTGGGACTCGCAACTGCCTAATGCACTAAGCTCACTGGGTTGGGAAATGGTGGCACCCATCTCCATAGCTCCAGGCTGTGCTTTTTCCCTGCTAGAGCTGGGGGGGCTGGACGGCTTGGTCCCAAGACTTGTCCCCACAGCCCAACACACCAGCTGTGGTAGTCTGTGGCCAGAGTGCCTCTTCAGGCCTAAATTTCACTCATCCTTCTTCAGTGGGTGGGGTTTCCCTGCAGGAACTCCAATAACTCCACTCAGAGGCTCCATGACAAAATCCAGATCTCCCTGGGCCTGAGCCCCTAGGGGGAGGGGTGACCACAGTCTCTGTGGACCAGCAGACTTAGCTTCACCTCCTGGTAGTTCTGAGGAATCTGGTTAGCCCCGATGAGTGGGTTTTCCCCAGCAAAGCACACCCCTTCAACCAAGGAACAAAGTGCTTCATTTAATGCGTTCTGTTCCCCATGCCACCCAACTGGGTGGGACCCTCCAACAGGGGTTGTCAGACACCCTATACAGAAACAATCCTAGTGTCATCAGGTTTGTTCCCTTTGAGGTCAGAGGTCCCAGAAGAAGGTGGAGGCACCCATCTTTGCTGTTCTCCAGCCTCCTTGAGTGACATCTCCAGGCGCGGGAGCAAATCAGATGAATAGGCCCTGAAGTGAACCCCCAGCAAACTGCAGTGGCCCTACAGAAGAAGGACCTATTGAAAGAAAAACAAACAAGCATAAAGCAACAACAGCAGCATCAACAACAACAAAAAAGGTTCCCAAAAAAACCCCATCCAAGGGTCAGCAGCCTCAAAGACCAAAACTAGACAAACTCACAAAGATGAGAAAGAATTAATGAAAAAAATGCTGAAAACACAAAAGACCAGAGTGCCTCTTCTCCAATGATCGCAACGTCTCTCCATCAGGGGTGCAGAAATGTATGGAAGATCAGATGGATGAATTGACAGAAGTAGGCTTCAGGATATGGGTAATAAAAAACTATGTTGAGCAAAAGGAGCATGTTCTAAACCAATGCAAAGAAGTTAAGAACCTTGATAAAAAGTTATAGGAATTGCTAACTAGAATAACCAAATTAGAGAAGAATATAAGCGACCTAATGGAGCTGAAAAACATAGCATGATAACTTTGTGAAGCATACACAAGTATCAATAGCAGACCCGACCAAGAAGAAGAAAGAATAACAGAGTTTGAAGACCACCTTGCTGAAATAAGACATGCAGACAAGAAGAGAGAAAAAAGAATGAAAAGGAATGAAGAAAATCTCCAAGAAATATGGGACCTCATAAAAAGACCAAACCTATGATTGATTGGAGTACCAGAAGGAGACGGGGAGAATGGAAACAAGCTGGAATATGCACTTCAGGATATGATCCAGGAGAACTTCCCCAAGCTAGCCAGACAGGCCAACATGCAAATTCAGGAAATACAGAGAATACCATTAAGATACTCCATGAGAAGATCACCTCCAAGACACATAATCATCAGATTCTTCAAGGTTGAAAGCAAGGAAAAACTGTTAAGGGAAGCCAGAGAGAAAGGCCAGGTCACCTACTAAGGGAAGCCCATCAGACTAACAGCAGACCTCTCAGCAGAAATACTACAAGCCAGAAGAGACTGGGAGCTAATATTCAACATTCTTAAAGAAAAGACTTTTCAACCCAGAATTTCACATCCAGCCAAACTAAGCTTCATAAGTGAAGGATTAATAAAATTTTTTCCAGACAAGCAAATGCTGACGGATTTCATTACCACCAGCCTTGCCCTGCAAGAGCTCCTGAAAGAAGCACTAAATATGGAAAGGCAAAACCAGTACCAGCCACTGCAAAAACACACCAAAATATAAGGACCAATGACACTATGAAGAAACCGCATCAACTAGTTTGCAAAATAACCAAATAGCATCTTGATGACAGGATCAAATTCACACATAACAATACTAACCTTGGCCGGTCGCAGTGGCTCATGCCTATAATCCCAGCACTTTGGGAGGCTGAGGCGGGTGGATCATGAGATCAGGAGATCGAGACCATCCTGGCTAACATGGTGAAACCCCATCTCTACTAAAAATACAAAAAATTAGCCGGGCGCGGTGGCGGGCACCTGTAGTCCCACCTACTCAGGAGGCAGAGGCAGGAGAATGGTGTGAACCTGGGAGGTGGAGCTTGCAGTGAGCCGAGATTGCGCCACTGCACTCTGGCCTGGGCGAAAGAGCGAGAGTCTGTCTCAAACACACACACACACACACACACACACACACACACACACAAACACAAACAAACAGAAAACAATATTAACCTTAAATGTAAATGGGCTAAATGCCCCAATTAAAAGACACAGACTGGCAAATTGGATAACGAGTCAAGACCCACTGATGTGCTGTATTCAGGAGACCCACCTTACATGCAAAGACACACATAGGCTCGAAATAAAGGAATGGAGGAAAATTTACCAAGAAAATGGAGAGAGAGAAAAAAAAAAGCAGAGGTTGCAATCCTAGTCTCTGACAAAACAGACTTTAAACCAATAAAGATCAAAAAAGACAAAGAAAGGCATTACCTAATTGTAAAGGGAACAATTCAACATAAGGGGCTAACTATTCTAAATATATATGCACCCAATACAGGAGCACCCAGATTCATAAAACAAGTTCTTAGAGACCTACAAAGAGACTTAGACTCCCACACAATAATAGTGGGAGACTTTAACAACCCACTGTCAGTATTAGATCAACAAGACAGAAAATTAACAAGGATATTCAGGGCTTGAACTCAGCTCTGGATCAAGTGGACCTAGTAGACATCTACAGAACTCCCTACCCCAAATCAATAGAAAATACATTCTTCTCAGTGCCACATGGCACCTATTCTAAAATTGACCACATAATTGGAAGTAAAACCCTCCTCAGCAAATGCAAAAGAATGGAAATCATAACAAAGAGTCTCTCAGACCACAGTGCAATCAAATTAGAACTCAGGATTAAGAAACTCACTCAAAACCACACAATTACATGGAAATTGGACAACCTGCTCCTTAATGACACCTGGGTAAATAATGAAATTAAGGCATAAATCAAGAAGTGGTTTGAAACCAATAAGAACAAAGAGACAACATACCAGAATCTCTGGGACACAGCAAAAGCAGTGTTAAGAAGGAAATTTATAGCACTAAATTCCCACATCAGAACGCTAGAAAGATATCAAATTAACACCCTAATGTCACAATTAAAAGAGCTAGAGAGGCAAGAGCAAACTAATCCAAAAGCTAGCAGAAGACAAGAAATAACTAAGATCAGAGAATTGAAGGAGGTAGAGACATGAAAAGCACTAAAAAAAAAAAAGAGAATTAGGAGCTGTTTTTTTGAAAAAATTAACAGAATAGACAGCTAGCTAGACTAATAAAGAAGAAAAGAGAGAAGAATCAAATAGATACAATAAAAAATAATAAATTGGATATCACCACTGACCTTAAAGTAATATACACTACCACTAGAGAACACTATAAACAACTCTACACAAATAAACTAGAAAATCTAGAAGAAATGGATAAATTCCTGGACACATACACCCTTCAAAGACTAAACCAGGAAGAAGTCAAATCCCTAAATAGACCAATAACAAGTTCTGAAATTGAGGCAGTAATTAATAGCCTACCAACCAAAAAAACACCCAGGACCAGATGGATTCACAGCTGAATTTTACCAGAAATGCAAACAGGAGCTGGTACCATTCCTTCTGAAACTATTCTAAACAATTGAAAAGGAAAGACTCCTCCCTAACTCATTTTATGAAGCCAGCATCATCCTGATACCAAAACCAGGAAGAGACTCAACAAAAAAAGAAAACTTCAGACCGACATCCCTGATGAACATTGATGCAAAAATCCTCAATAAAATACTGGAAACCAAACCCAGCAGCACATCAAGAAGCTTACACACCATGATCAAGTTGGCTACATCCCTGGGATGCAAGGCTTGTTCAACATATGCAAATCCATAAAAATAATCCATCATATAAACAGAAGCAAAGACAAAAACCACATGATTTTCTCAATAGATGAAGAAAAGGCCTTTGATAAAATTCAACATCCTTTTATGTTAAAAACTCTCAATAAACTAGGTACTGATGGAATGTATCTCAAAATAATAAGTACTATTTATGACAAACCCACAGCCAATATCATATTGAATGGGCAAAAGTTGAAGCATTCCCTTTGAAAACTGGTACAAGACAAGGCTGCCCTCTCTCACACTACTAGTCATCATAGTATTGGAAGTTCTGACCAGGGCAGTCAGGCAAGAGAAAGAAATAAAAGTATTCCAATAGGAAGAGAGGAAGTAAAATAGTCTGTTTACAGACAACATGATTTTATATTTAGAAAACCCCATCATCTCAGCCCCAAAACTCCTTGAACTGATAAGCAACTTCAGCAAAGTCTCAGGATGCAAAATCAATGTGCAAAATTACAAGCATCCGTTTATACCCAAAATAGGCAAGCAGAGAGCCAAATCATGAATGAGCTTCCATTCACAATTGCTACAAAGAGAATAAAATACCTAGGAATGCAGCTAACAAGGGATATGAAGGACCTCTTCAAGGAGAACTACAAACCACTGCTGAAGGAAATAAGAGAGAGCACAAACAAATGGAAAAACGTTCCATCCTCATGGATAAGAGAATCAATATTGTAAAAATGGCTATAACACCCAAAGTAACTTGATATTCAATAGTATTCCCATCAAACTACCATTGACATTCTTCACAGAATTAGAAAAAACTATTTTAGGAGGTGCGTTCCAATATGGCCGAATGGGAACAGCTCCAGTCTGCAGCTCCCAGTGTGATCAATGCAGAATACAGGTGATTTCTGCATTTCCAACTGAGGTACCTGGTTCATCTCATTGGAACTGGTTGGACAATGGTTGCAGCCCACGGAGGGCAAGCCGAAGCAGGGCAGGGCATCACCTTACCCGGGAAGCGAAAGGGGTCAGGGGATTTCCCTTTCCTAGCCAAGGGACTCTGTGACAGACTCTACCTGGAAAAACAGGACACTCCCGCCCAAATAATGCACTGTTCCCAAGATCTTAGCAACCAGCAGACAAGGAGATTCTCTCCCATGCCTGGCTTGGTGGGCCCCACACCCACAGAGCCTTGCTCACTACAGACTGCCTCCTCAAGTGTGTCCCTGATGCCTGTGTAGCCTAATTGGGAGGCATCTCCCAGTAGGGGCCGACAGACCCCTCCTATAGGCGGGTGCCCCCTGGGATGAAGCTTCCAGAAGAAGGATCAGGCAGCCATATTGCTGTTCTGCAGCCTCCGCTGGTGATACCCAGGCAAACAGGGTCTGGAGTGGACCTCCAGCAAACTCCAACAGACCTGCAGCTGAGGGACCTGACTGTTAGAAGGAAAACTAACAAACAGAAAGGAATAGCATCAACATCAACAAAAAGGACATCTACACCAAAACCCCATCTGTAGGTCATGAACATCAAAAACCAAAGGTAGATAAAACCACAAAGATGAGGAGAATCCAGAGAAGAAAAGCTGAAAATTTTAAAAACCAGAGTGTCTCTTCTCCTTCAAAGGATCACAGCTCCTTGCCAGCAATGGAACAAAGCTGGATGGAGAATGACTTTGACAAGTTGAGAGAAGAAGGCTTCAGAAGGTTGGTAATAACAAACTTCTCTGAGCTAAAGAAGCATGTTCGAATCCATCGCAAGAAAGCTAACAACCTTGAAAAAAGGTTAGATGAATGGCTAACTAGAATAAACAGTGAAGAAAAGACCTTAAATGACATGATGGAGGTGAAAACCACGGCACAAGAACTTTGTGATGCATGCACAAGCTTCAATAGCTGATTCGATCAAGTGGAAGAAAGGGTATCAGTGATTGAAGATCAAATTAATGAAATAAAGCGAGAAGACAAGGTTAGAGAAAAAAAGAGTAAAAAGAAATGAACAAAGCCTCCAAGAAATATGGCACTATGTGAAAAGACCAAATCTACATTTGATATGTGTACCTGAAAGTGATGGGGAGAATGGAACCAAGCTGGAAAACACTCTTCAGGATATTATCCAGGAGAATTCCCCCAACCTAGCAAGGCAGGCCAACATTCAAATTCAGGAAATACAGAGAATACCACAAAGATACTCCTCGAGAAGATCAACCCCAAGACACATAATTGTCAGATTCACCAAAGTTGAAATGAAGGAAAAAATGTAAAGGGCAGCCAGAGAGAAAGGTTGGGTTACCCACAAAGGGAAGCCCATCAGATTAACAGCAGATCTCTCAGCAGAAACCCTACAAGCCACAAAAGAATGGGGCCAATATTCAACTTTCTTAAGGAAAAGAATTTTCAACCCAGAATTTCATATCCAGCCAAACTAAGCTTCATAAGTGAAGGAGAAATAAAATCCTTTACAGACAAGCAAATGCAGAGAGATTTTGTCATGCCCAGGCCTGCCTTACAAGAGCTCCTGAAGGAAGCACTAAATATGGAAAGAAACAACTGGTACCAGCCACTGCAAAAACATGCCAAATTGTAAAGACCATCGATGCTATAAAGAAACTGCATCAATTAACGGGCAAAACAACCAGCTAACATCATAATGACAGGATCAAATTCACACATAACAATATTAACCTTAAGTGTAAATGAGCTAAATGCCCCAATTAAAAGACACAGACTGGCAAATTGGATAAACAGCAAAGACCCATCAGTGTCCTGTATTCAGGAGACCCATCTCACTTGCAGAGACACACATAAGCTCAAAATAAAGGGATGCAGGAAGACCTACCAAGCAAATGGAAAGCAAAGAAAAAAATCAGGGGTTGCAATCCTAGTCTCTGATAAAACAGACTTTAAACCAACAAAGATCAAAAGAGACAAAGAAGGCCATTACATAATGGTAAAGGGATCAATTCAACAAGAAGAGCTAACTATCCTAAATATATATGCACCCAATACAGGAGCACCCAGATTCATAATGCAAGTCCTTAGAGACCTACAAAGAGACTTAGGATCCCACACAATAATGATGGGAGACTTTAACACCCCACTGTCAGTATTAGACAGATCAATGAGACAGAAGGTTAATAAGGATATCCAGGACTTAAACTCAGCTCTGCACCAAGTAGACCTAATAGACATCTACAGAACTCTCCACCCCAAATCAATAGAATATACATCCTTCTCAGCACCACATCACACTTATTCTAAAATTGACCACATAATTGGAAGTAAAGCACTCCTCAGCAAATGGAAAAGAACAGAAATCACAACAAACTGTCTCTTAGACCACAGTGCAATCAAATTAGAACTCAGGATTAAGAAACTCAATCAAAACTTCTCAACTACATGGAAACTGAACAACCTGCTCCTGAATGACTACTGGCTAAATAACAAAATGAAAGCAGAAATAAAGATGTTCTTTGAAACCAATGAGAACAAAGACACAACATACCAGAATCTCTGGGACACATTTAAAGCAGTGTGTAGAGGGAAATTTATAGCACCAAATGCCCCCAAGAGAAAGCAGGAAAGATCTAAAACCGACATCCTAACATCACAGTTAAAGAACTGGAGAAGCAAGAGCAAACAAATTCAAAAGGTAGCAGAAGGCAAGAAATAACTAAGATCAGAGCAGAATTGAAAGAGATAGAGACACAAAAATCCCCTCAAAAAAATCAGTGAATCCAGAAGCTGGTTTTTTGAAAAGATCATCAAAATTGATAGACTGCTAGCAAGACTAATAAAGAAGAAAAGAGAGAAGAATCAAATAGACACAATAAAAAGTGATAAAGGGAATATCACCACCGATCCCACAGAAATACAAACTACTATCAGAGAATACTATAAACAACTCTATGCAAATAAACTAGAAAATCTAGAAGAAGTGGATAAATTCCTGAACACATACATTGTCCCAAGACTAAACCAGGAAGAACTTGAATCTCTGAATAGACCAATAATAGGCTCTGAAATTGAGGCAATAATTAATAGGCTACAAACCAAAAAAAGTCTGGGACCAGATGGATTCACAGCTGAATTCTACCAGAGGTTCAAAGAGGAGCTGGTACCATTCCTTCTGAAACTATTCCAATCAATAGAAAAAGAGGGAATCCTCCCTAACTCATTTTATGAGGCCAGCATCATCCTGATACCAAAGGCTGGCAGAGACACAACAGAAAAACAGAATTTTAGACCAATATCCGTGATGAACATTGATGCAAAAATCCTCAATAAAATACTGGCACACCGAATCCAGCAGCACATCAAAAAGCTTATCCACCATGGTCAAGTCAGCTTCATCCCTGGGATGCAAGGCTGGTTCAACGTATGCAAATCAATAAATGAAATCCATCACGTAAACAGAAGCAATGACAAAAACCACATGATTATCTCAATAGATGCAGAAAAGGCCTTCAACAAAATTCAACAGCACTTCATGCTAAAAGCTCTCAATAAACTACGTATTGATGGGATGTATCTCAAAATAATAAGATCTATTTATGACAAACCCACAGCCAATATCATAGTGAATGGGCAAAAACTGGAAGCATTCCCTTTGAAAACTGGCACAAGACAAGGATGCCCTCACTCAGCACTCCTATACAACATAGTGTTGGAAGTTCTGGCCAGGCCAATCAGGCAAGACAAAGAAATAAAGGGTATTCAATTAGGAAAAGAGGAAATCAAATTGTCCCTGTTTGCAGATGACATGACTGTACATTTAGAAAACCCCATCGTCTCAGCCCAAAATCTCTTTAAGCTGATAAGCAACGTCAGCAAAGTCTCAGGATACAAAATCAATGTGCAAAAATTACAAGCCTTCCTATACACCAATAACAGACAAACAGAGAGCCAAATCATGAGTGAACTCCCATTCACAATTGCTTCAAAGAGAATAAAATACCTATAAACCCAACTTACAATGGATGTGAAGGACCTCTTCAAGGAGAACTACAAACCACTGCTCAATGAAATAAAAGAGGACACAAACAAATGGAAGAACATTCCATGCTCATGGATAGGAAGAATCAATATTGTGAAAATGGCCATACTGCCCAAGGTAATTTATAGATTCAGTGCCATCCCCATTAAGCTACCAATGACTATCTTCACAGAATTGGAAAAAAACTACTTTAAAGTTCATATGGAACCAAAAAAGAGCCCGCATTGCCAAGACAATCCTAAGCAAAAAGAACAAAGCCAGAGGCATCACACTACCTGACTTCAAACTATACTACAAGGGCACAGTAACCAAAACGGAATGGTACTGGTACCAAAACAGATATACAGACCAATAGAACAGAACAGAGGACTCAGAAATAACACCACACATCTGCAACCATCTGATCTTTGATAAATCTGACAAAAACAAGAAATGGGGAAAGGATTCCCTGTTTAATAAATGGTGCTGGGAAAACTGGCTAGCCATATGGAGAAAGCTGAAACTGGATCCCTTCCTTACACCTTATACAAAAATTAATTCAAGATTGATTAAAGACATAAACGTTAGACCTAAAACCATAAAAATCCTAGAAGAAAACCTAGGCAATACCATTCAGGACATAGGTACGGGCAAGGACTTCATGACTAAAACACCAAAAGCAATGGTAACAAAAGCCAAAATAGACAAATGGGATCTAATTAAACTAAAGAGCTCCTTCACGGCAAAAGAAACTACCATCAGAGTGAACAGGCAACCTACAGAATGGGAGAAAATTTTTGCAATCTAAACATCTGACAAATGGCTAATATCCAGAATCTACAAAGAACTCAAACAAATTTACCAGAAAAAAACAAACAACCCCATCAGAAAGTGGGCAAAGGATATGAACAGATACTTCTCAAAAGAAGACATTTATGCAACCATCAGACACATGAAAAAATGCTCGTCATCACTGGTCATCAGAGAAACGCAAATCAAAACCACAGTGAGATACTGTCTCACGCCAGTTAGAATGGCGATCATTAAAAAGTCAGAAAACAACAGATGTTGGAGAGGATGTGGAGAAATAGGAACACTTTTACACTGTTGCTGGGAATGTAAATTACTTCAACCATTTGAAAGACAGTGTGGCAATTCCTCAAGGATCTAGTACTAGAAATACCATTTGACCCAGCAATTCCATTACTGAGTATATACCCAAAGGATTATAAAATCATGCTGCTATAAAGACACATGCACACGTATGTTTATTGTGGCACTATTCACAATAGCAAAGGCTTGGAACCAACCCAAATGTACAACAATGATAGACTGGATTAAGAAAATGTGGCACATATACACCATGGAATACTATGCAGCAATAAAAAAGAATTAGTTAATGTTCTTTGCAGGGACATGGATGAAGCTGGAAACCATCATTCTCAGCAAACTTTCACAAAGACAAAACCAAACACTGCATGTTCTCACTCATAGGTGGGAACTGAACAATAAGAACACCTGGACACAGGGTGGGGAACATCACACACCAAGGCCTGTTGTGGGGTGGGGGGCTTGGGGAGGGATAGCATTAGGAGAAATACCTAATGTTAATGACGAGTTGATGGGTGCACCAAACCAACATGGCACATGTATACCTATGTATCAAAACTGCATGTTGTGCACTTGTACCCTAGAACTTAAAGTATAATAATAATAAGAAGAATAATAAAGAATTCTAGTTCAAGTGTTGAGGTGAGGGACAATTGGCCTTCAACAGAATCACAGCAGGCCTTAGGGCCAGAAAGCCTAAGTATTATGTAGAAATGGCAGGGGGGACTTGTGGGAAGGGAAGGTGACTTTCCCAAAAGAATGCTCCTCCAAGAAAGGTGAAGGAGACCAGCTGCGTTTCTGCCCTATTCCATCCTCGCATCTGGGTGGAGTTCTAGAGGCTCAGATGGGCAGGACCTATGACTTTCTGAGCCACGCTCAGGATAACCTGGAGAAGAGGACCCTCCTACAGTCCTTTTCCATCTGGTGGTCTCCCTTTCTATTCTTCCCACGGTTGTCCTATCTTGAGCTAGTCCTGCTGAACCATTCATAGAAATGAACCTGTCTGTCTGCTTCCTGCTTGACCATGAGATCCTCAAGGACAGAGAACAGTCTTAGCCATGTTGGTATCTTCAGCATGTCGAACCTTACCTTTATTCAGGCATCTAAGCATCTGAAAATTTGGGAAATGAAATGAAGATGGTTAAGGATTAAGAGAGTCTCACCCTCATGATTTAGCAGCCCAGAATATCTCTGCAAGTGTCCAGGCTGCCCACTTTCTTTGGGGCAACTAGGTACATGGAAGAAACCAAGAGCAGTCAGCCTGCAGTAACTGAGTAAGTCCCAGTCTCCATCTCCCTGAGCCATGTTCAATTTGAACAAATAAACACTAAGGAACTTAAAAAAACACCTATTTTAAATTTCATGTGGAATCAAAGAAGACCGCATATAACCAAGACAACTTCAAACTACACTACAAGACCATGTAACCAAAACAGCATGGTACTGGTACCAAAACAAACACATAGACCAATGGAGCAGAACAGGGACCTCAAAGGTAACACATCATATCTACGACCATATGGTCTTCAACAAACCTGACAAAAAGAAACAATGGGGAAAGGATTTCCTATTTAATAAATGGTGCTGAGAAAACTGGATAGCCATATGCAGAAAACTGAAACTGGACCCCTTCCTTACACCTTATGCAAAAATTAACTCAAGATGGTTTAAAGACTTAAATGTAAAATCCAAAAACCATAAAAACCCTAGAAGAAAACCTAGGCCATACCATTCATGACATAGGCATGGGCAAAGTCTTCATGACAAAAATGCTAAAATCAATTGAAACAAAAGCCAAAATTTACAAATGGGATCTAATTACACCAAAGAGCTTCTGCACAGCAAAAGAAGCTATCATCAGCGTGAACAGGCAACCTATAGAATGGGAGAAAATTTTTGCAATCTACCCATCTGACAAAGGTCTAATATCCAGAATTTACAAGTAACTTAAATATATTTACAAGAAAATGACAACCCCATCAAAAAGTGGGCAAAGGATATGAACAGACACTTCTCAAAAGAAGACATTTATGTGGCCAACAAACATAGGAAAAAAGTTCAACATCACTGATCATCAGAGAAATGCAAATAAAAACCACAATGAGATACCATCTCACACCAGTCAGAATGGCAATTATTAAAGTCAGGAAATAATAGATGTTGGTGAGGCTGTGGAGAAATAGGAACACTTTTACGCTGTTGGTGGGAGTGTAAATTAGTTCAACCATTGTGGGAGATAGTGTTGCAGTTCCTCAAGGATCTAGAACCAGAAATACCATTTGACCCAGCAATTCCATTACTGGGTATATATCCAAAGGAATATAAATCATTCTACTATAAAGACACATGCACATGTATGTTTACTGCAGCACTATTTACCATAAAAAAGACTAGGAACCAACCCAAATGCCCATCAGTGATAGACTGGATACGGTAAATGTGGTATATATACACCATGGAATACTATGCAGCCATTAAAAGGAATGAGATCATGTCCTTTGCAAGGACATGGATGCAGCTGGAAGCCATCATCCTCAACAAACTAAAACAGGAAAAGAAAACCAAACACTGCATGCTCTCACTCATAAGTGGGAGCTGAACAATGAGAACACATGGACACAGAGAGGGGAACATCGCACACCGGGGCCTGTTGGGGGATGGGGGTTTAGGGGTGGGAACTTAGAGGACGGGTCAATAGGTGCAGCAAACCACCATGGCACACATACACTTATGAAACAAACCTGCACGTTCTGTATATGTATCCCGTTTTTTTTTAAGAAGAAATAAAGAAAAAAATAAGTAAATAAAAAAGAAAGAAAAAAATGTACTTAGCTTTTCCCAGGAGTTCTACCAGAACAAAAAATGTTTATAAGCATGGTCTTGAATATTAAAATTCAGAATATAAACTAGCTCTGACTTTCTTTTTTGTTTCCTGTGGGAAAAGTTTGCCAAATGACAGACAACACAGACATACACAGATACGCCATTTTATTAGGAAATCCAAAAGAATGATTTTAAATCCCTCAAGGCTCTGGCTCCTCTCCTGGAAAAAAAGTAAATGAACGGAGATATTTAAAAATTCATCAGTATTTCTTCTTTGGATATTACTATTTTGAACACTTTTAAAAGACCTTGATCTTTTTCCAGGTAATAATAGCTTTAACTGGCATTAAAGAAATGGTGCTTACAAGAATAATTTATAATTGCATTAACTCTCTTTGAAATAAACTAATAGAGCTCCATCATAAAGGAGAATCCTATTCATAATTGATCTTTTGCATTAAACAGCAATAAACTTCCAGCAAATAAAGTAGCTGATTTTACTTTGAAGCTCATAAAATTATAAAGCTGCTTACAGAAATCAACCTCCTAATTTATGGCATGTTCATCAGTGAATTTGTTTAATACCTGAAATATCTGCCTTACTGGATAAGGCCTAAACTCTACCAAATAGCCCATCTTTGGCCACATTCTTTGCTACCATAATTTGTTAAATGTGCTACAAATGATTTTTAGAGAATTACCTAGACAGGTTTTTGGTACCTTCACTTAAAATGTATTGTGGTACCATAGCCCTCATGACAAAAGCAAAATAAGTTATTACTTGTTTCTAAATGTTAGTAAATGAAATGGAATACAGTGAAAAGGAAAGAGATTGCTTCTCTAGCTCCAATGTTGAGATATTGGGATTGTTAACAAACAAAATTTTTTTAAGGCAAATCGTGATTCTCATATAGATAAAAAATGAACACATGCCAGTGATTTTATTTAATTCATTATTAAATGAGAAAGCCAGTTCAAAGGTATATCCAAAGATAGGGACATTTATAAGCCAGGAATATTGGCATGCATTTACAGACAGATGCAAAATGTTCTCTTTCACAGAGGGAGTGAGGTTGTCCCTCCATTGAACCAGGTTATTTGCTTTACTATAGATAACAATTATTTACATTTCCATCTAAAACTTGAAGAGTTGTAAAATAGCTCACAACAATGAAAAAAATGCAGCCTCCATATAATCAGAATCACGTAACTGGAAAATGTGTACTATAAAAAGTGCATAGAATTCTTAAAAGCACACATTTTTCCCCGGAATCAAAGGCGAAACATGGACATATATATATATATGTATATTTCACTCAGCCAACAGGACAAGACAGTGGAATTTCTGAAATGCTAAGTTGAATATTCCTTTGAGGTATATAGTTTATACCATTGCTTCTAACTACATTAGAAAGCACCAGCCACATTCAGTGATAAGATTGCAATTAAATAAATATCCTGCTCTATGATCTCAATTTAACTGATATTTCCTTCTGATTGAAAGAAATCTGAAGGATTGAGTGAGAGGAGGTAAAAATACATCTCCTCCTAATACAAGGATAACATCAGGAAATCTGCATGGAGAAGAAGGTATTACATTACTTTCATGGTATATGAACATTATCGTCACTTCAATTCTGTCATAATATCTAAGAGACTTTTTTATCCCCTTACTTTTGACTCTAGCTCTTGGCTGATAATAGCTTGCAAAACACCAGCATGGATTTTACATAGAAAGATCACATCATCCTGGATGCTATAAGATAAAATTGAAAGGGTTTCACTTCTTAGCTACACTTAAATTACAACGTGTTAGAAAATTCTTCTCAAAGAGGAAAAAAGTAACTATGTTGTGGAATAAAAAAAGGATGCCTGAAATACAGTTATATTAAACAAGAAAGAAAGGGAAATAAATAGTCAAACAATGTAAATTCTGCAACTGATTTTCTTGATTTTTAATAATAAATCAGTAAACACACACATTATATTATTTTTAAAAAAAGAATGAAAGAGCGAAGAAGATATTCCTATGCCCTGGCATCTCACAATCAATTTTGAGAGAGACACAAAAAATGTAGCAATAAGAGTGGAAGAAAACCAGGACTCTATAGGAGGTATGCTGGTCACTCTCTAGTATCATTTATAACAGTGTCCTCACTCGATGATTATCTGCAAGGGTCAGTCCAGGATCCAAGAGGGTCACATTTCACTGGTCACATTTTTTTGCACATACAAGAGCAGAAAGAAAAAATAAGTAGGAAACAATGTCATGTCACAAAGTCAGAAATTCAAAATATTCTGGAAATCTCCTGCCTATGGCTAATTTTTATAAACAGCTTATTTCTATGTGAGCATGAAAATTCAAACTTAGAAAGACAAGAAAACTGACAAATTCACAGCAAGGCACAGCTATCTATACTACCTGAAGTGCTTATAAAGTTTCCTTTACAAAGCAATATTCATTCCTTACCTGGCTAATTGCTTCTCCCTTCTCTTCTCTTAAATCTTGAATGAATTTCCCTAAGAACAAACAGCTAGCACTAGTTTTCCCATTACATATTTTTCCTTAGTAACACTTGCCAGATAGAAATTGAAGAAGTCTCCGACACCCACCACCTCATCACAGTTCCCAACTCACTTACATGTCTCACTCACTTACACCACCAACCTCCCCGCACCTAACCCAAGGCCTATAAATATTTTCCTGAATCTTGAAAATCCTACACACAATCTTTCTTTAGGATTAGGCTATGTGCCTCTATTCATGTTCAAATGTGTTACATGACAGTTAGAAGATTCAGCACTGCTATTATGCTTTCTCTCCATATTCTTGTTTACAATAGTTGTTCATATTGATGGGGGTACATGTAACATTTTGATACAAGCATTCAATATATAATGATCAAATCTGGATAACTGAAATATTAATTACCCCAACTTGTATCATTTATTTGTGTTGGGAAAATTCCAAATCTCTTCTAGCTATTTTGAAATATACAACAAATTATTTTTTACTACAGCCTCCCTATTATGCTATCGATGCTGGACCTTGTTCCTTCTATCTAACTGTATTTTTATATCTATTAATAAATCCTTCTTTCTTTGCCCTCATCATTATCCTTCCCAGCCTCTGGCAACCACCATTCTATTCACAACCTCCATGATGTCAGTTTTTATAGCCCCCACATATAAGTGAGAACATGCAATATTTGTCTTTCTATGACTAGCTTATTTCGCTTAACATAATGACCTTTAGTTCCATCCATGTGGCTGCAATTTACATGATTTTAATCTTTTTATGGTCAAATAGGATTCATATATATGATATATATTATACATGATATATATGAATATATATGATATATATTAAACATGATATATATGAATATATGATATATATTATACATGATATATATGAACATATATGATATATATTATACATGATATATATGAACATATATGATATAAATTATACATGATATATATGAACATATATGATATAAATTATACATGATATATATGAACATATATGATATATATTATACATGATATATATGAACATATATGATATATATTATACATGATATATATGAACATATATGATATATATTATACATGATATATATGAACATATATGATATATATTATACATGATATATATGAACATATTTGATATATATTATACATGATATATATGAACATATTTGATATATATTATACATGATATATATGAACATATATGATATATATTATACATGATATGAACATATATGATATATAATATACATGATATATATGAACATATATGATATATTATATATGATATATATGAATATGATATATATTATATATGATATATATGAATATACATGATATATAATATATATATTATATGATATATTATATATCATATATGATATATATTATATGATATATATTATATGATATATTATATATCATATATGATTATGATATATGATATATGATATATATGATATATATGATAAATGATATATATTATATGACATATATGATATTACATGACATATATGCTATATATTACATGACATATGTGCTATATATTACATGACATATGTGCTATATATTACATGACATATATGATATATATGATATGACATATGATATATGATATGATATATATGATATATATGATATGATATATGATATATATGATATGATACATATGATATATATATGATATGATATATATGATATATATGATATGATATATATTATATATATGATATATATGACATATATGATATATATTATATGATATATGATATATATTATATGATATATGATATATATGACTATATATGATTTATATGAATATATATGATATGATATATATATGAATACATATGAATATATATGATATATATGAATACATATGAATATATATGATATATATGAATACATATGAATATATATGATATATATGAATACATATGAATATATATGATATATATGAATACATATTAATATATATTATATATATGAATATATATGATATGTATGAATATATATGATATATATGATATATATGAATATATATGATATGTATGAATATATATGATAATATGAATATGTATGATATATATGAATATATGATATATATGAATATATATGAATATATATGATACATATGAATGTACGTATATATGAATATATATGATATACATATGAATATATATATGATATATGTAAACATTTTCTTTACCCAGCCATGTTTTGATGAACCCTTAGGTTGATTCCATGTCTTAGCTATTATGAATAGTGCTGTGATAAACATGGGAGTGCAGATATGTCTTTAATACACCGATTTTCTTTCCTTTGCATATATACCTAGCAGTGGGATTGGTGAACCATATGGTAGTTCTAATTTTAGTATTTCTGAGGACACTCCATGCTGTTTTTCATAGTGTCTGTACTACTTTACATTTCCACTGACGGTGTACGACTTTTCCACTTTCTCCGCATCCTTGTCAGCATTCATTATTGTATGTCCTTTGAATAAAATTTATTTTACCTGTAGTGAGAGAATAGTTTATTGTGTTTTTGATTTGCATTCCCGTGATAATTAGTTATGTTGATTATTTTTTCATATACCCATGCACCATTTGTCTTGTTTTTAAAAATGTCTATTCAAATACTTTGCCAATTTTTAATTGAATTATTTGTTTTTGCTATTGAATTGTTTGAGTTTATTATATGTTCTGGTTACTAATCCCTTGTCAGATGGATAGTTTGCAAATATTTTCTCCCATTCTATATGTTGTCCCTTCACTGTGTTAATTTTTTCCTGTGCTCTGCAAAAGTTTTTTACCTTGAGGTAATCCTATTTGTCAATTTTTGCTTTGGTTACCTATGCTTTTGAAGACTTACTTAAGATCGTTTACCCAAACCAATGTCCTGAGGTGTTTCCCTAGTGTTTTCTTGTAGTAATTTCATAGTTTCAGGTGTTATATTTAAGTCTTTAATCCATTTCAACTTGATTTTAATATATGATGAGAGATAGGGATCTACTTTTACTGTTCTACCTATGGTTATCCTATTTTCCCAAGAACATTTAGTGAAGAGACTATCTTTTTCTTAATGTATGTTCTTTGCACTTTTGTTGAAAATGAGTCAGCTGAAAATGTATGAATTTATTTCTAGGTTCTCTATTCTGTTTAATTGGTCCATGTGTCTGTTTTTATGTCAGTACCATGCTGTTTTGGTTACTATAGCTTTGTAATATATTTTGGAGTCAGGTAATGTGATGCCTCCAGCTTTATTCTTTTTGCTCGGGATTGCTTTGGCTATTTGGAATCTTCTGTGGTTTCATACAAATTTTAGAATGTTTTTTCCTATTTCTGTGAAGAACATCATTAGTTGATAGGGATTTTTTTGAATCTGTAAATTCCTTCAAGCAGTATGGTCATGTTAGCAAAATTAATTCTTCCAATCCAGGAATACAGAAGATGTTTCCATTTTTTAAATGTCATCTTCAATTTATTTCATCGAAGTATTACAGTTTTCATTGTAGAGGTCTTTCACTTCTTTGGTTAAGTTTATTCTTAGATACTTTATTTTACTTTTTGTAGCTATTACAAATGGCATTTTTTTCTTGATTTCTCTTTCAGATTATTTGCTTTGGTATATAAAAATGCTACTGAATTTGCATGTTGATTTTATATTCTGTGACTTCACACTGAACTCATTTATCAGTTCTAACAGTTTTTTGACAGAGTTTTTAGGTGTTTCTCAATATAAGATCATGTCATCTTCAAACAAGAACAATTTGATTTCTTCCTTTCCAATTTAGATACCTTTCTTTCTTTCTCTTGCCTAATTGCTCTGGTTAGGATTCCAGTACTACATTGCATAAAATTGGTGAACGTGAGCATCTTTGTCTTGTTCAAGATCTTAGAGGAAAAGCTTTCCATTTTTCCCCTTTCAGTATGATATTGGCTGTGATTTTGTTATATATGGACTTTATTGTTTGGCAGTATGTTCCTTCTATATCTACCTTGTTGAGATTATTTATCATGAAAACGTGAAATTTTATTGAATGCTGCTGCTTCTGCTTCTCTGTCTCCTCTTTTTTTTTATTTTTATTATTATTATTATTTTTTTAACAGAGACTCACTCTGCTGTCCAGGCTGCAGTGCAGTGGCACAATCTCGACTCACTGTTACCTCCACCTCCCAGGTTCAAGTGATTCTCCTGCCTCAGCCTCCCAAGTAGTTGGGATTACAGGCGTGTGCCACTATGCCTGATTAATTTTTGTATTTTTTTAGTAGAGATGGGTTTTCACCATGTCGGCCAAGCTGGTCTCAGACTCCTGACCTCAAGTGTACCACCCACCTCAGCCTCCCAAAGTGCTGGGATTACAGGCATGAGCCACCGTGCCCAGCCCTTGAATGCTTTTTAGCATTTATTGAAATGATCATATGGTTTTTGTCCTTTATTCCATTAATGTGATATATTGATTGATTTGTGTATGTTGAACCATACTTGCATCCCAGAGATAAATCTCATTTGATCATTATAAATGACCTTTTTAAGTGCAGTTGAATTTGGCTTGCCAGTATTTTGTTGAGAATTTTTACATCTACGGTCATCAGGGATATTGTTCCATGGTTTTCTTTTTTGTGCGTGTCTTTGTCTGGTTTTGGCATTAGATTAATTATGACCTCACAGAATGCATTTGGAAGTATGCTCTACTTTTTAATTTTTAAAAAGAGTTTGAGTAGAATTACTATTAGTACTTCTTTAAATATTTTATATAATTCATCAGTAAAGCAATCAGGTCCTGAGCTTTTCTTTGATGACAGACTTTTTATTATTGCTTCTATCCCATTTGTCATTATTGTTCTGTTCAGGTTTTTTATTTTTCATGGTTCAACCATGGTAGGTTGTATGTGTCTAGGAACTTATTTATTTCTTCAAGGTTTTCCAGTTTACTGGCATACAATTGTTCATAATAGTCTACAAAAACCCTTCTCTGATTTTATTTATATGGGCTTTCTCGCCTTTTTTAAGTCTAGCTAAAGGATTATCACTTTTGTTTCTGTTTTCGAAAAAACAACTTTTAATTTTGTTGTTAATTTTGTATAATTTTAGTCTTAATTTCATGTATTTCCACTCTAATCTTTACTATTTCTTTCTTTCTACTATTTTGGGTTTGCTGTGTTCTTGCTTTTCTAGTTCTTTAAGGCTCAGTGTTAGGTTGTTTATTTGAAGTCTTTTTGGTTTTTTGATGTAGATGTTTACTGTTATAAACTTCCCTCTTAGTACTGCTTTTATTGTATCCCATAGGTTTTGATACGTTGTATTTCCATTTTCATTTGCTTCAAACAAGTTTTGTTTTCTTAATATTGACCCATATTTTTTTAAGAGAATGTTGTTTAATTTCCACATATTAGCATACCTTCCAAAGTGTCTCTTGTTATTGATTTCTAGTTTTATTCTATCATGCTCAGAAAAAAGAGCTGATATGATTTCATTTTTTAAATTTGTTGAAACTTGCTCTGTGGACTAAATAGACCGTAACCAGGATATGTTCTATCCCGGATAATATTCTACGTGCTGACGAGAAGACTGTGTATTCTGCAGCAGTTGGATAAAATGCTCTGTAAATACCAGCTAAGTCTATTTGGTCACATTAATTCCAATGTTTCTTTGTTGATTTTCTGTCTGAATGATCTGTCAGTTTTTGATAGTGGGGTGTTTTAGTCCCCTATTATTATTGTAGTCTAGCTCTCCCTTTATATCTTTTAATATTTGCTTTATATATTTGGGTACTCTATTGTGGGTTGCATATATATTTACAATTATATGCTCTTGTTGAAGTGATCACTTCATCATTATATAGTGACCTTCTTTGTCTCTTTTTACAGTTTTTGACTTGAAGTCTATTTTATCTGATTTAATTATAGCTACTCCTGCTCTTTTTTGATTTCCACTTGCATAGAATATATTTTACCATGTCTTCACTTTCAGTCTATGTGTGCATTTATAGGTGAAGTGAGCTTCTTGTGGCAGCATATAGATTTTATCTCATTTACAGTCAATGTTATTGATAGGTAAGAATTTGCAACTACTATTTTGTTACTTGTTTTCTGGCTGTTTTGTAAGTCTTCTCTTATTTTCTTCCTTTGTTACACTCTTCCTTTGTGGATAAGTGATTTTCTCTGAGAGCATGTTTAATTCCTTTCTTTTTCTTTTTCACATAGGTTTCTATTATAGGTTTTTGCTTTGCATTTATCATGAGTCTTACAAGAAATATTTTATAGATATAACAAATTAAATTAATGACAACTCAACTTTGATTACAAAGAAAAGAAGCAAAGAAAAAATTGTTAAAAAAATCCTGCATACTTTAACCCATCTTCCTAGGAAGTTCTAGGGTACATGTATACAACGTGCAGGTTTGTTACATATGTATACATGTGCCTGCCATGCTGGTGTGCTGCACCCGTTAGCTTGTCATTTACTTTAGGTATATCCAGCATTAGAGTATTCTTAATCTGTCTGTGTACTTACTTTTATCAATGAGCTTTATTCTTTCAGATGATTTCCTGTTGCATGTCAGCATTCTTTTATTTCAGATCAAAGAGTCCCCTGTAGTATTGTTTGTAAGACAAGTCTGGTAATGATGAATTCCATTCACTTTTGTTTGTCTGGGAAAGTCTTTATTTCTCCTATGTGTTTGAAGGATAGCTTTTTGGAGTACAGTATTTTAGGTTCAAAGTTATTTTTTTCTTTACCACTTTTAATGTGTCATTCCACTCCCTCCTGGCCTGTAAACTTTTGCCAAGAAATTTACTGCCAGATGTATCATAGCTTCATTATACGTTATTTACTTATTTTCTCTTGCTGCTTTTAGGGTACTTTCTTTGCCCTTGCCCTTTGAGAGTTAGATTATTACATTCCTTGTAGTATCTGATTTGGGTTGAGTCTTCTTGGTGTTTGTTGACCTTTTCACCTGGTTATTCTTACTTTCCTCTAGGTTTGACAAGTTATCTGTTATTATTTTTTGAATAAATTTTCTGTCTTAATTTATTCCTTTACTTCCTCTTTAAGGTCAATAATTCTTAGATTTGCCCTTATGTGGTTACTTTCTAGATCTTGAAAGTGTACCTTTTCGTTTTTCTCCTTTCTGTATTTTCAGCCTGTCTTCAAGCTAATTATTTCTTCTGCTTGATCAATTCTGCTTTTGAGACAATCTGATGCATTTTTCAGTTCATCATTTGAATTTTACAGCTCCAGAATTTTTGTTTTTTTAAATTACCTCAATATTTTTGTTGAATTTCTCTGATGCATTCCTTAATTTCTTCTCCGTGCTTGCTGAACATTTGTTAAATTTCCCTAAAATAATTATTTTCAATTGTCTGTCTGAGCATTCATATTTCTCCATTATTCCAGGATTGGTCACTGGTACCCTATCTAGTTCATTTTGTGAGGTCATATTTTCCTGAATATTCTTTATGCTTGTGAATATTTGTGGATGTCTGGGCATTTAGGAGTTAGGTATTTATTTCAGTCTTCACAGTCTGGTTTTGTGTGTATTCATACTTCTACAGAGGGCCTTCTAAGAAGTCATAGGAAGTTGAGTATTGAGTTACCTAAGCCCATGGTAACTGCACCCATTTCAGTACTAGAGGGCTCTCTAAGCCTACACTGTGATACTGGTTATTTCTAGATATCAGCACTGATGGACTTGGGAAAGGTAAGGGAGAATTATCTGTGTTCTCAGGCAAAGTCCTTTACTTTCTTCTCTTTCTCTCAAGTGAAAGGAGTCTCTCTCTCTGTGTGTGTGTGTGTGTGTGTGTGTGTGTGTGTGTGTGTGTGTATGCTATGTTTCCTGCAGTTGGAGGAGGGATGATGTAGGCACTGTCACAGGCACCGCAGCTGGCACTATGCTGGGTTGTACTCAAAGCCTATAGTCTCTCAGACCAGCACAATGCCAGGGCTCACCCAAAGCCCATGATTGTTTCTGCCTGACACTGATGTTTATTCAAGGCCTGAAGCCATTTTTAGTCAGAGACGTTGAAGCTTGCGGGATGGGGGGGCCTTGTGTCTGCTCCACCAGGGCAGAAGATTTCCTTTTGGCCCAGGGTACAACTAGAAGTGTTATCCTGGAGTAACAACCTGAAATCAGGGGCTTTGGGATCCTGCCTGATGCTTTGTTTTACTGTAGCTGGGCTGGTACCCACTTGCAAGACAAAGTCTCTACTCTTTTCTCTCCTTCCCTCTCCTTCCCTTAAGTGGAAGGAGTTTTTCTGCACTGTACTGTCTGGAGTTGGGGGAGGAGTGATGCAGGCACTCCTGTGGCTGCCACAGCTGATGTCACACTGGATCACACCCTAGGACCACAGCCTCCAAGACCAGTGCAGCACCAGGGCTTTCCTAAGAACAGCAGTTGCTATGCCTGGCTGCCATTAAAATTTATTCAGGTCCCAAGGCCACTTTAGTGAGCCAGTAGTTAAGAAGGCTGGAAATTGGGTTTCTCCTCCAGGAGTGGCAGACTCCCCTCTAGCCCAGGGGTGATCTAAATGCTTTCTCTATGGGCAATGGCAGGATTCTTTTCAGTGTTGTGTTCCACTGTGACAAGGTGGGACTGAGTTCTAATACAAAATCCCACAGTCACTTTGCTCTCCCTCTCTTGAGTGCACAGATTGCCTCTCTGGGCTGCACTGCCTGTTGGGGGAGGGGTGGTGTAGGCAACTGAAACTCTTTCCTACCCTCTTCCATGCATGTTTCCATCCTATTACATTACAACCAGAAACTGATCTCTTACCTGATTTTTTAGTTCTTGTAAAGGTGCTTTCTTGCATGGATGGTTATTCAATTTGATGTTCCTGCAGGAGGGATGATCACTAGAGGGTTATCTTTGACCATCTTCCTCTACCTCCAGCCTCTCTTCTTCATTCTTCTCTTTTCCTATGAACTTTCCTTTCCCCACTCCTTTCCATTTGTTCTTTTATTCTTTTTATAGAGTCGGGGTATATAAACAGGATAAATATTGACACAGTGAGATTTGGCTTTATTTATCACTCAACATTTCGTAGATGTCCATCTGCGCTTATTTCTTCTGGGATTTAGTTATCCTCTTCGCAGTTAAAGGTAATATTATCTATCCTAAAAAGTTGTGAGAATCAAATACTAGTAATGCATATAAGGACCTCACCAGTAATTACAATCTAGTAAATACTCCAACAATGGTTAGAATTATTGATTATTAGCATGAACAATAAAATTTCCTACATTTTCTGAGTATTCTCCCCCCACCCCAAACACACACACACAATACATTTCTTTCTTTGAATCCTCTTGCTTCCCACTACTTTGCCTCATGCAGAAATCATAATGCTGCTAAAGATGAAGACAAGAAAATAAATGTATACATGTGACAACAAAGACAAATATTATGAAGTAAGAGGAAAAGGAGAAGGGAAAGGAGATACACAGCATTCATCTAATTCCCCACTTTGGGCAGATACTATGCTAGGAGCTTCAGTATCATATTTCATTCCCATGGAAATGCTATGAGCTGGGTACATTTATTAACAAATATCTCTACTCTTCCCAAAAGGAAATGGAGGCTTGAACAAATTCGCATGGCTATTAAGTTGCAGAGCCAGATTATGAACAGAAAGTGTGTGCCTTTAATCACTACACTACTTTGGTTCACAAGATTGCAAGATAATCTGAGGCAAAGATGTGGTAGGGGCTAATTTTCCTTACTTTTAGAGAGAAGGTATTATTCTCTAGAGGTGGAGATGAGAAAGGGTATGCTCAAGAAGTGAGACATTAGGGAAACGGTTTATTGAAAGGTAGTGTGGGTGCTTGATTGATGTATGATTTTAATAACTGTGCTATCTAGTGTGAAAATCAAGGAAAGCTGATGGCTCCTCTCTGTCCTCCCCCCTTGGCTTTTCTTTGATCTCATATAATGGATAGGGCAGGTCATTGAATCATAGTTCCAGGAAGTGAAGATTTAACAGGAGTTATGTTTAAGTGCAAATGGACACATTCTCTCTTCAGGTGCACTTTCCAGAGGTTAAAGAGTTCAGAACAGTTCTGAAGACTTGCTCTCTCCTGAAAAAAAGATCTGCTTATAAATTTTATTGATTTTAAAGAACAGTGTTCACATGATCCAGGTTTTAAATAATGAAGATGTTTGCAGATCAGACGAAATCAAAGAAGGAACCAAGAATAGTGTTCTAAGTAAAGAAAATAGGAAAACAACTGGATCAGTTAAATATGTGGTAAGGGGTACTCCGTTAGAAATAAACCAAAGTCTTAAGTAATTCTACAGCGGGACTCAACACCAACAAAGCTTCTGAACTCTTTTTGAAGATGTGCCTATTAGAGATATAGAATTAAAGTTCATTCCTAGATGGAGGTCCTCTTAATACAGCACTGGAATGCCAGGAGGGGCTAAGAGGAAATTGAAAGGACATAGGTTTTACATATATTAATGAACATCACAAGGAAGAAGGCAACATGACGGAAATTCTGAGGATTTGCAATTGCACTATGGCAGATTTTTAAATATTAAAATGTTTTACATGTCATTTTTAGAGATGAGTTAATATGCATTGGTTGTGGTCCCCCAACTCTGTCCCAAGAATAAGGGCTACTATGTCATCATTAACTTCCTGAGGGAGGACTTCTCTCAGTTGAGATTTCACTCACAGGTCCTAGACTTAAGAAAATTGACAGATTTGGAAAGATCTATCTCTCTTATCTCTCTCTCTATCTATACACACACACACACACACACACACACATATACACATATATACATAATTATACACACAATTAAATACAGTCATCCCTTCCCACATCCTTCCACATACTTTAAATAATCTCTAGATTATTTATAATACTGAGTGCAATGTAAATGCTATGTAAATAGTTGTTATACTATATTGTTTAGGGAATACAAACAAGAAAAAGTCTATACATTTTCAATACAGATGCAATTTTTTTCCTCAACTATTTTGCATCCATAATTGAATTCATGGATGCAGAATCCAAAAATACAAAGGGCCGCCTACATATGTAAATATATATATGTGTGTGGTTGTGTATATATGTATATATGTGTATTTACATATACATACACATATATAACCACACACATATATACATATGTACATCCACACACATAGAGAAATTATATAGGTACACACATATATATTATATAAACTTTGCTTTCTTCTGATTTTTCTATATATTATTTTTCTCCAAGATAAAAGTTTGGCATGATCTATAGCAACAAGATCTAGAACGAAATATTTGCTATGTCCTGAGATTAATACTTTGGCTTGGGTATACTGTAACAAAATGGTTTCTTAAGTTGCAAATTACTGCAGCTAAAAAATAACTGGTGCTTTAATTCTTATGTGTTTTTATCTCCTGAGATTTTGGAAAAATGAAATATATAAGAAAGTTGGAGCCGAATTTTTTTCCAATTTCAGAGGTAATTAATGGTGCCAAGGAGCAATATCACTTTTAAAGGGAAACACACTTGGCTAAAGCTGTGAAGGAGGAAGCCAGAGTCCAGAGAGACCACCAATGGCCTGTGACTGAGCCGACTAAGAAAAAACAGGGGCAAAGAGTGTCTTCTGTGCATATCCTGGTACTTTTTGTGTGTGTGTGTCAATAAAGGAATAGGAGATTTATTTTATTATTTTAATTTCAATATTGGAACATAAACTTATTTTAAAAATTCATATTTTACAAATTCTTCAATATTATTTTATGTCATATCTTTATAAAACAGTTTCTAAGATTGTGGGTTACAAAATCAGAGGAGAGTTATTCTTCCATATTTTGACCATATGAATTTTAGAAATTTACTTAATATCTCTGCCCTCAATTTACCCACTTGTAGATTGATATACTGATAGTGCCTACCTCATAGCATTACTGTAAATATTAAAATAAATTACACGTGAGAAGTGACTAGCCTATGATAAGTGTTTAGTAAATATTAATAACTACTATTTTTCCTAACAGCTATGGTTTGAATGTCCCCTCCAAAACTCATTTTGAAATGTAATTGCTATTGTAACAGTATTGAGAGGTGGGATCTTTAAGAGGTGGTTAGGTTATAAGGACTCCACCCTCATGAATAAAAGCCAGGTGAATATTTCTTTATACACATGATATTTAACAACTTTGAAAGATGTACATCCCAGGGCATCAGTCTAATCCATAGACAAACTCCTCCCCTCTAGGAGGAGGAGCCACCATCTAGGGAATGAGTTTCTGATGAAAACACAAGTTTGGACTGATTGCCTCTCTCTGTCTCACCTTCCTCTTTGTCTTCCACCATGGGATAACACAGCATGAAGACCCTCACAAGATGCAGTACTCTTGGCCTTCCCAGTCTCCAAAACTGGGAGAAATAAATTTTCCTCGTTGTTATGTTACCCAGTCTGTGATATTCTGGTATAGCAGCAGCAAATAGACTAAGACACTGGCATGCTGGCTTTGCTTTTTCCTGGTGCATGTTTCATGATGCTGTTTGGTGAGCTGGTTTTGAGGACATGGGGAAAGAAGAGGAGGAATACTACCATTGAATAAGTACTTAGTATCTGCTAGGCTGTGTGCTGAGCACTGTCACACAGACTGTCATTTATTCCTGACTAGAACTGTAGATGTAAAAGATGTTAATACTGCATATTGAAGTTAAAAAACTTGTTATGTATGCAGCTTTTACATTATAAATAGTACAAAACATTGAGGATGTAGTTGTACTGTATTCACAAATTATATTTTGATTCATTCAGCAAAGCCACTCACTTCCATGAAACATTAGTGAAGTATGGGTATACATCCTTGTTGTTTCCTTTTCATCTTACTCATTAAGGTAAATAAGAGTTACAACCAGCATTTATGTCAGAACTATACTCATCCATCAATTACAACCATAGTTTCACTACAGATACAAGAGTTGGGCAAAAATCAATGAAAATGTTCCATAAGAATCAACTGGCAATGTGGAATTTATAATGGAGACTATCATATATTTTGTTATTATTTAGAAATTGAGTGTTATACATCCTTTATATCAATATAATTTATAATCAGTGTGTGTACACACACACACATACAAACACATGTTTAACTTAGGGTTGTTGTTGTTTTTGCAGAGGTTGCACTTAATTCATCCTCAGAGGGGAGGAGTTTGTCTGTGGATTAGACTGATGCCCTGGGATGCATATCTTTCAAAGTTGTTAAATATCATGTGTATAAAGATATATTCACCTGATACTTGCTCCATGAAGCCTGAGAAGTAAAGCAGAGACAGGCTAAAAACCTGGTCATCTGTTTCACTTAGCTGCCTTCTTCCTCTTATACCTGCTTTATTCCATTTCATTGGTGATGAAAAATGGACCTGAGAGTTGCTGATGCTGCTTCTCTAGTTATCTCTGACCTTGCCGTTAAAGCAGGAAGATCTAGAGTCAGTTATGGGGTTGGGAAGAAGGAAGTAGATGAGACTACATATATAAATGCTACGTTGGTAAGAGAGCCCCAAGCCTGTCCTTGGTGTAGACAGATAATTTCTGTGTATATATAATCAAGTTCTACACCGTGTTTTCAGGCCAAGTTCACTGCATAATGGAAAATGCCCTTACATTTATTATTTTTACTCTGGCAGTATATATTCTCTTTGGGAACTTGGACTATATTAACCAGATTTTTTTTCCTTTTTAAATAACATCTTAATCTCACTCCTTGCACTATTACAATTCTCACAAATAACAGAAGCAGCATTTCTCTCTGATTATAATTTTGTCCATCTTCCTTCTCTGAACTCAGGTCTTCAGCAACATTTGAACTAGAAGTCTACGTCTGATTGCTTCCAGAATCTATATGATCATAATACAGTTTCTAGAGAGTGACCAGGAATGATAGGTAAAGAATCATGAAATACTGTACACACACACACACACACACACACACAAAAGGATTGCCTATTATGTCTATCCGCTCTGTAATTTGTAAAACAAAATCAGGGTGTAAATTGTTCTATGCCAGGGTGAAAAATCACAGATTTTCTTTGAAAATATACAAAACTAAGCAAAAGAAAAACTAAGCATACTGGGAGAGCTTTGGCAGTTGTCATCAGTACTTCTTATAGTTAGAAAGAGCAATCGTGTCCCTGAGAGTCTATGAGGTATCAGTGCCACAAAGCAAGGTATCGGTGGTCTCCATACTAAACATGGGTGGAGGAAGAAGGTTTGAAACATGGAGCAAAGCCGCCTGGAGCAGGTTTTGAATGTGGACATTTTTGCCTCATAGATTAGTAGATGGAAGAAATCTAGAAAAAACAGATTTCACAAGAAAATCCCATGACTGTTTCTGAAAACATATGATCTTCTCCCTCTGGCTTTCATTTTCCCACTTCTGATAAGCAATTTTTATGGGAAATGTTTTATTTCCCTTTTAGCTCTACTATCACAAATACAACAATGCAAGCATGATAAGAAATGGAGGCTAGCAATCTCAGAGCAAAAATTAAGAAAGACAGGAGAATGTGGCAGACCGAAGAACTTTTCTTCTTCTGTCTAAATGTGGCAGCTGCTATGTAACTCCAATCTATGTTTGTATAAACACAGAGCCAGTGTTGTCATATTGTTCATTATTTTAAAGAAACCAAAAACATGGACTTGAAACCAAAAACATGGACTTAATTAAAAATGTATGAATTGTAAGTGTTGGGAATGACCAATAAATTTTTTTTAAAAATTGCAGACCAGAAGTATGCAGGGTAAACGAAACTTCCCTAACAGTAAATATTAAGACATCAATTTACAACTACTACCTGAAATTCATAAGGTAATTAAAAGGACATTAAGCCTATCTGACTTTACTGCAAAAACTGAACACAAAGTTGTTCCAAGGACATATAATGCTATGATTTAAGGATGACTGAAATGAGTGAGAGAGGTCTTCCTTACATAGAATCACTTTTCCACTTCCAAGTGGAATGATGTCAAATGATGTTAGTGATTTTCTCCTGTTTCAAAGTGTCCCTCGATCCAATCACTATAGCTCAAATCTAGCAAAATAATGATTCTATTACCTGCTACTACATGATGAGCTGAATATTTACACAGAGTTCATCCACTCCATTGACGTTTCAATTACACATTTGACAAAATGACTTATTGGCACACCTGATAAGAAGCATTCACACCTACCTGAAGAAACCATAGAGTAATGTAAATTCATCATGTGTTATTTCAGGCAGCCAGTCTTTGAAAGCACCTTTCATTTAGAAATCAAAGGTGAAGGTCTAAAGAAAAGAACTCTCTTATCCAATCAATCATTAGCATATATGAAATGTTGACCTGATGCCCCTTATTCATAACTGATTATTTAACAAAAATAAAAAACAAGAGAGAAATTTATTTCCTTCCTGAGTAAAGTAAATCTTTGTTTTTAGTACAAGCAGGCAAATCAGTAACCAAATAATAAATGGAGAGTTAAATAAGGGTTTATCATCTGCCTCACTTACCAATGGTTGCTTACTGTCTGATGATTCCATACTTTCAGTGACCATACTAATAAAAACAGCTCACCCGGACAAATTTACAAGCCAGTTTTCAAAAGCAACACATTGCCACTTCCACACTAGCCAATGAGCCTTCTTGCATTGCAATGCTCTTATTCAACAAGATTAAGAAGCACAAATGCAGAACAATGTTCTCTGTGACTGTGAGGGAGCATTATTCAACACTAATGGCAAATATGTTTACATATTGCCAGCAATTGCAACTCCAAGCTAAAGCTATAAATGTTGGACTAACTTCCAATGTAGTATTTATGACAGGTTCTCCTTGAGAAATAATTGCAGTCTTTATACATGCCTGCAATAAAAAAAATATAGCTTGGGAAATGTATGTTTCTTCAGGTTTCAGCAAAAGTTTCAAATCAGAGTATCAGTGAATGAGGAGGATTACTCACTCCAATTCTATGCCCTGCATAGTAGTAATCTGCAAAACTTAAAAAGTCAGGCTGCTGTGAAAACATGAATATCTTTTTCAGTGAGGAAACTTTCCTGTACATCTTATGCTCCCTTTTAGTGTTTCTGAAATCTAGCCATTATGTATGAACTGCATCAAGATCACTGTAAATATTGGAAAGTCGATCAAGTCTGTTTTCTAAAGCAGGTATTTAAGACGTTGATTAAGCTAAGAATACAAAATGTATTCTGGCATAGACATTTATTGTGTTTCTTGAATTCAGTGTTTATTTTTCATGAAGTTATAATAATGAATATGTTACTGCAGCTGTTAAGAGAAAAAGATTCTGGTAAAATTTAATGAATAAATAGAGGAGTAGTTTGCTAATTCATAGTTAATAAATATGTTTTTTTCTCCAAAATAGAAAATGGTATTTCTCTGGATATTTTTTCATAACAGATTAGCTAGGACTTCCTTGCTAACACAGTACTTAAGAATCAAAAGCTAAGTAAATCAGGGAAGTTTTTGGTATTTCATGGCATCAAATAATAAGTTCAACTGATTTTTTTTCACCGAAGTGACTAGTGTTAGACACAATCTACTTAAATTGAGTGGCAATTTAAACTGTGCCTTCATAACACTAAAATAGCAGATCAACTCAACAAGAAAAGTATAATCAAGCAGACTGGGCTCACACACATTTGACTGATTGATAGAACTTTTCACTTTTTAACCTTTCATTTCAATGTCTTAGAGTCTCGCCAACAACTCCTAAAACCCCAAAACCTGTACACAAAGAAAAGTGAATGTTCAACATGAGAAGATTTGACTTTTGTTCTGTGATCACCTAGAGATTAAATGTACCATTGAAACCACTGGATGCAGCTTCTCCATTCCTGTCCTTAAAATTATATCTTTTCAATGGGCTCTTTCATACTCAGCAGAGAGCCTGGCCAGCCCATGGTAGAGTCAGAAAACAGACAAAGACTTTTTTTAAGTATCCTCCAAATTCCTGATCAAGAGCCCATCACCTTCCTGATAACAACCCCAGTCCCTTCACATGTTGCCTTCCAGGTGACTAGTGGTATCAGTGCCATACTCTACTCAGCCCCGTATTTCTCAAAATTTAAGGTCAAAATCCTTTCTCAACCCTGAGAAATTCAGTGCTTTAAGTCAGTGCTTTACTTATCACTTTTGAAAAATCTATCAAATCATTTGAATCTATAAAGCTAAAGTCTGCTAATGACTTACATTCTATATAACTGTTACACTTTATCCCAGGAGTCTTTGATACAAACCAGTGGCCAGTGAGAAGACATCCACATTACAGTTAGGCTGAGAGAAAATTTTTTGTTGTGGAGACTGGGTCCTTCGAGTGCACTTAGCATACGGAGGGTTGACTCTGATTCTGGAATTAAAAATATTACTAAAGGATAAAAATTCTGCACTTCAGAATCATCCACATACCTTTTCAATATAGATATTCCAGGGATTCTGACTCTGTGTGGCTAGAGTAATAACGAGACACTTACTTTTTTTTTTTCAAAAAAGTGTCAGAGATAATATTGAGGCATGGTAACATAGCTGAGTACCACTTGGACAAGATTCTGGTTATTAGATCATTACTAAGGTCCATTCTTTAATTAGGTTTCTCTGCTGTGAAGCAAATCATTCCTCTCAACCATGAGAGAGAAAAAATTGCAGTAAGCTATTTCTCTCAGTCTTTTCTTGGGCACCAAAACTCATATGCAGAGATTTTCAGGAGCAAACACAATGATCTGTCAGGGCTTTTTCTCCTAACACTCCCCATTAATGAATGGGCAGCAAAGCCCTAGATGACTCCACTCCATTACTGAAATGAATAGGCAGGCCTCATAAAAAGCATCCTCGGCCAAACCATTCGTATTGTAAAAACTAGTTCCCTATGGACTGCAAAGTACATCTCCCTTTCGATTAGAGCATCCTGTGTGGCTTTCATGTGTATGGGTGACTAATTAAGAGAGCTCATCATTGCTGTCAATAAAACTGCTCTCCTTGACAACTTGGCAAATCTTAACAAGAGCATTTCTGCCATCTAGTGTTCAAAGCCAGCAAACAATACTCTTAGCACCTGTAAGGGCATAGCTCTTCTCTGTCAGGCCTAAATGAGGTTTTAGTTTCCATTGCCAAGGTCAATTCAGAACTGCTTGGGGGAGGTAAGGAAAAATAATATTTCTTGGGAAAAAAAACCTTGTACAACATTACTCTCACTCGCTCAATGAACAACTTGGACTCTAATGCAGTAGATCATTAACGTCATGATCCATTTTTGTCACCCACATTCTGATTAAATTTGGCTCCATAAAATAAGCTTCTAGAATACCAAATGTCCTTAGAGTCTCACCCATGCTGTCGGCAGCAGAATGTAATTAGCACATGAAGCTTGTAAACCTGAGAATCTTGGCTCTGCTTTGTAATGTAATGGAGTTTTCCCAGTAACAATAATTTGATTTAATGTTCAACAAGAGGTTAACTGTGAGGACTACAGTATTTTGGTGCTGAAATTCATATTTCACAAAATACAATTCACATCAAAATGCTCTTTCCATATAAAAAGCCTCTGGCTCACAGTTCAGGAGGCTGAACATCCCTATCTCTCCAAGAAATAATGACAAAAGCACTTAATCTCTCACCTTGGGATCCCAGGCTGGAAAAATGATCGGCCTGAAGTTACTCTCAAATTCAAGGAGGTGGTGAGAAATAGCTCCTACATACAGGTTTTGTATTAAAGAAGATATGCCTGTATTGTGGGTTGTACCAATGCCCTTTCCCCCAGCCAGAATAAGAGCCATAGAACTGTTAATGGGAAGAGAGATCACTAGGTAATGAATTCAAAGCCAAAGGAGTCTAAGGGTGACAACCAGGGCTTTTCTTGACCCATACAACTTCGCTTTTCTTTATTAGAGATTTGAAAAATAATAACTACAGCTAATGATTGTCATCATAAGAATTTGTTCAACCATTATTATGCGAGTATTCTATACCTGACCTTTGCACTTGATATCATCATTTACCAAAAACAACAATAAAACTAAATAACATCAGTTGAGCCTCTAGTATTTGCCACGCATTGTGGCATACATGTATATCTCATTTAATACAATGATCTTGAGAAGGAGGCATAATTTCTTTTCATTTACTAATGAGGAAATCAACATTGATAGAAGTAGCTACACCAAGACAGCACAGCCAAAAAATGATAGAGTCAAAATTAAAGTTAAGTTATGTTTGATGCCAAAGATCCTTCCAAAGTCATGTAGTTTTCCAATATTCATGAGGGATGAAAAGAGCATCCAAAATCCTAGCTCCTTCCTCTCCTCTTAAATTCCATTCATTTTTTGCTCTATGAGCCAATTGTCTCTTTAGTTCTAGTTGCCAGAAAAAATGGTCATGAAGATTTCAAAGTTAACCAATAAGTCTCAAATATCAGACGCTATTAAGTTTATGTTGACAAGAAACAATACTTTCCTGATTTATACATGACAAGAAAACATACACAATATTTTCAATTAATGCTAAGATTTTATCAGAAGATTTTCATACATTATAACTTTCATACATTGTCATTTTCATAGATTATAACTTAGGCCAAATCAATTCTGCCCAAGACTAATTTTTTAAAATACGTATTTTATCTATCACTTAAAATGCTCCAAGACCTTCAAATCCAAACTGATTAAGCACTTGAGGTAATCCTCGAACCAATTCTTATTTTTATTTTTTTTTGAGACAGAGTCTCACTCTGTCACCAGACTGGAGTTCAGTGGTGTGATCTCAGCTCACTGCAACCTCCAACTCCCTGATTCAAGCGATCTCCTGCCTCAGCCTCCCAAGTAGTTGAGATTATAGGCACGCCACCACACCCAGCTAATTTTTGTATTTTTAGTAGAGACAGGGTTTCACCATATTGGCCAGGATGGTCTCGTTCTCCTGACCTTGTGATCCGCCTGCCTCAGCCTTCCAAAGTGCTGGGATTACAGGTGTGAGCCACCACTCCTGGCCAAACCAATTCTTATTTACCAGGCAGCCATTCTTACTCTATTCCATGAACCTTCCTTTCAAGTCGGCCTCATTTATTAATTTGTCGAAACATACCTTGCTTACTCTTCTCTGCTACTTTGCTTAGGAAATTCCCCAGGTCTGGAATAACCTTCCCTATATGGTATGTGTGTCCAGATGCTTCCAATATTTCTAGAACCAGCTTTAGCCTCATCTCTTTTGTGAGGGCTTCACCATCTTGTTAGCTCTTGATACTCACCCTGTACTAGAATATCCCACAGCTCTTACTTTCTTCCTACTCATATGTAGAGTATATTTTTATGTGCCTATATGTTTATTCCATTTTACTACAAGCAAAAATCCTATGCTTTGGGGCAAAGATTCAATTCTGTTCAATACAGCATTATAGTTATGCAGCATCTACTCAGACATAGGCACAATTTAGAAGACTTCATGTTCTAATTTGAAGTATATTCTCTGAAAAAGGGCCTAAAGTAGGTGATTAGAAAATTTTGTCAGAAGAAAGAAAACTTTTTTGAAGACATGCTATGATCTAGGCACTGCAGTAGACATTTTTATATAATTTATCTTATTTAATCCTAACTACAGACCTAGAGGTAAAGTTGGGTTCTTTAAATTTTTGTAGATGATATTGACATTATAAAACTGTAAACAATTTTCCAAAGATTGCATGTATGCAGCAGTTAGTATCAAACCTATAGTTTCTATTTCCGAAATCTATGCTTTTTTTCTTCACTGTGGTAGAGTTTTCTTGTATTTAGCCTCAGAAAAACAATCTTTTGAGATTGTCATATGCCTGAAAAGGCCAGAAGAGAAATAATGTAGATTAGTAAGAGCTACCAAGAAAATCTCTTGTTGAGCAAAAGTCAAGCCGCTAAACACTCCCCTAAATTATCAACAACATTATAGTACTTTAATACAGTAATTTAAATTTAATTGCAAATTTTTTCTTTAAATTTTAAGGATATATTAAGTGCTTAACCAACCATTTCCCATGGATTTATTTATATCAGTTTTTTACCCATATGGATTGGACTGTTTCTGTGTAACAGACACACCTCCAATGTAACATTAGATTAAATTCCAGTTTGGCTAAGGATTTAAAGTAGGATAAATACACAGGGCAGGAACGGCTATACCTCAGCATAACGTAGCTTCCCTTAAATCCAAAGTCTCTATCTGAGGCACAAACAGGGGTCAATGATACTGCTAGTAGAATCTCAGAAGGATGAGAAGTTTATTTTTTGTTCATCTACCTGACTTGGTGCCCTATTTGGGCTGCTTCCTAACTCTCTGGCTTCTTGTTGGGTCAGTAATGGGAGGTGTTGGCAGGGAGTGGGTAATAAAGTAGAAGGAAAAAGAAGAAGGCAGTTTGGGTATCATCACCACTCTGCCATCTCCTCCCACACAACAGCACTCACTTCCTGCACACCTGCAGCTGGCAGCAGCTGCTGGGGGGTCGGCTTCCGTAGCTTTTTCTCTGTCTCTTTCAGCTTCCACCGTCTCTTTGCCCCTTCCTCCCTGGCTCCAGCAGCTGAGTGTCTCACTGTGCCTTGTTCATTCCTTGAACCGCGCTCACAGATCTGTAAATAGCTCCTCTTTAATAAACCATTGTTAATTTAAATCTTCTGAGTGAACCCTCTTGCTTCCTACCAGGCCATTGATTTGATATATGTAATTAGAGCAAATTATGAACTACTACCACTCTTTTTCACTTTTGGTTATTTCTATAGCTTCAAATTTATACCCAGAATCCGAAATGTAAACATTTATAATTCATGTTTTTAAAACCCAAATTTATTTCTCAAATGCCACAGACTAACTAGATTCTCAGTCCTGGCTCAGAATTATTTCTCAGAGAATAATACTTCAGTTCTTCATCAAAAATAGTTTCTTTCTTTCTACCTGTACATAAAGATCAACAAAACCCATCAAAATAAATATGTCTTAGAATTATAGATGCTCATATTTAACTCAATCATAAGAGAGATTTCTTGCATTTCCACTTTGTAAGAGAGACTAAAAGTATTACATGTTTTTTTTAGGAACGGAATATTTTCCTTTTGCCAGGTTTGTTCATTTTTGGCCCTCATCTTTATGGCTTCTTTGGAATTAGTTTCAAGTACACCTTGTATTGTATAGACTGGTTAGATTAATTAGTTTTTTCCTCTGGACCAAAATAGTTTGGAGAGGGAGGAGGAGTAAGGGAGGTTGTGGTTAAGGATGGGAGAGGCTGCATCAATAATTATTACAAAGCTAACACTTACTGAAGTAGCTATTACTGTGTAATTACTAAATAATTACCATTGCTTTCAAAACACTATATATTTTTAAGTCATATATTCCTGAAACAAACATGAGATCTTGTTGTTTGCATCTTGCATCTGAGGTGAGAAAGACAGGAAGAGGATAAAGAACTTTGTCCTAGGTCCCACAGCAATAAGTAACAATGCTAGGACTTGAATTACACAGCCTGCAGGCAGGTCTAAAATCAAGGCTCTTAATCACAGCACTTAACTGCTATTCAGATATTAATGCTTAGGTTCTCCCTTCTCTGTTTGCTCATTTCAGCATAGCAGAAAATAAAAATAAATACAGTCAGCCCTCCACATCTGAGGGTTCCCTGCCTGTGGATTCAACCAACCATGGATCAAAAATATTCAGAAAAAAAATTGCATCTGTACTGAACATGTACAAACTTTTTCCTTGTCATTATTCCCAAAACAATACAGTATAACAATGATTTGCCTAGGATTTACATTTTGTTAGGTATTATAAGTAATCTAGAGATAAGTTAAATTGTATCAGAGGATAGTGGTAGGTTATATGCAAATACCAGGCCATTTTATATCAGGAGCTTGAGAATTCCTGAATTTTGGTATTCAGGTGGGATCCTGGAATCAATCCTTCATGGATACCAAGGGACAATTGTAAATAAAAGTATCTCATCATACTACCATTTAAACTGAAACAAAATGAAGCAGAAATGTACCTCTGAAAAATAAAGTCATTTTAGAAATGTTTGACCTATTGTCAGTGGTGGCACAAATGCTCCTGAAACCTGGTTCCTGAAAGCGGGCTCTTTGCCATGATGAGAAAAAAAAGTCCCAAAATTATTTCTGGGCCACCATTGATGTTACAAGCCTAGGATGGCTGCCATGGCTCTAAGTGTGTATACACCATTGTCTCTCAGACACAATACTTTTCCTGGTTATAAGATATGACCTATATCATTGTATAATAGTTACATTTCCTTTCTACTAGTTTGGACAATATTTGTAACAATTTTTACAGTATTCCTATTTAGAGGTTGATTGCAACATTTATGTACATTATGTCATGCCAAGCAATTTAATGTAAAAGTTTAAAAAACAGTATGCACTAAGTGCTTAACCCAGTATTTTCTTTGGTTTCAATTCATTTATACTGTACTTTTTAACCCATGTGGTTTCCCAGCAGACAAAACATGTTCCTGCTACACGACACCCTTAATGGAGCTTGAGGGTAACCGAGGAGCTCCAGGGTGTGGGTCAGTGGTTCACACAACTGGCTAATCATCAGGACAATCTAGGCAGAGTTCCACAAATACAAGTTCCCAGGCTCTACCCTGGACCTTCTGATTCTAGTTCTAATGAAGCTCCAAAATTTGCATTTTTTATCTACCTAAACAATTATGATGGTTTGTCAGTATGAAGATTTCACCAGTTTGAATATTGTGAGAGGATATGAACAGTCTGTGAACTTCCAATTAGTTAGCCTAAAAAATATTTATTTTTATGAAGTTCATTGATCAGATCATTGAAAGGACTTCTAAGATCCCACAGAGTATTCAAGCCAAAGGATAGAGTGCAAGAGATAGAGTGCAAGATAATGCCAGCAAGTGTCAGAGCCCTTAGATTCTCCCAGACATAGCTCTTCAGGGTCATCCTTAGGCCCACAAAGAAATAGTTTGCCTTCAAATTAGATGACAAGGTTTGTACAGGAAACCTTGGTTTAGGGGGGAGCTCCCTAACAGTTTGATTATATAGACAACAAAGGCTTTCTAGCTAATTATGCTGGTGAAAACCATCAATAATTAAGCTGGGCCTGAGTGCCACCATAGGAGTTTCAAAGTTTAAATTGCACTCTATAAATGATTATTTATTCCACTACCCTTATCTTGGCCAAGAGTCAGCACTAGATTTCCATGTTCCCCAGAGATAAGCACAGGGCTGCTCTAGTCCAACTGCAAATTAACTATATCTTGTACAATTCTATAGACCCAAGTCTTGCTACACATGCAGCCCCAAAGTGCAGGATTGAGTGGAGTTAAAGGAGATCTGTACATGAGCCAGGGTCAATTTAGGGCTTTAGCAACAGGTGGACCCTAATATTTAATCCTAACTTGGTTCTTGTGTCTATTTTTCAATGTCAAATTTCTGCTTACATTATCTCTGTTTTTACATAATGTCTACTTTTTTTCCATTAGGACCCTTAAAATATGAACCATAGTTATTTTACATTCCATCTCTAAGTCCAACATTTCTGTCAAATCTGAGTCTTGGTTTAATGCTTGCTTTGTATTTTCTGTGTTTTTCCTACTTTTTAGCATACCTTGAGTTTTTTTGTTGTTATTGAAAGCTATATGCATATATTTGGAAAAGAGAATGAGACACATAGGCCTTTAGTGTGAGGTTGTATCTTAACCTGGCTAGGATTTGGGCTGTGTCCAATGTTTTCTGTAGCTGTATGTGTCAGAGTCTTTCAATTCTTTTAATGTCCTTGTTTTTTTCTCTGGTGTTGTCTTTAGGTTTCCCTAAGAGCTCATTCTTAAATAGAGTCTAAGTTTGCAGATCTTTTGGCTACAAATCCACTGTTATTATACTAGATGCCCATTGATTTGGTAGCAAGGAATGGGAGAAAAGAGAATTCTGTAATCTTGTGATTAAATTTCAGTTTTTTAGCAGGTCTTTCCATGTGGGCTGTGACTTTCACAAGAGCTTTCACCTTTTTTTTCATCCCCACTTAGGTAAGACAGAAAGGCTATGGGTGGCTGGAACTGGGTAACTGCCCTTCTGTCAACATAAGATAAGGCTCTGATAAAATATTTTTCAGTGGAGCATAGGACTTTGTTACAAGAAAAAAACTGTCATATTTCAAAGTGGTTACTTTTCTCCTCCCCCTGCCAAAGACACGAGATGATTTTTCTTGGCTCTTCATGATGAGAACTTGGTGGGGTTCTTGGAGGTAAAAACCTCTGAATATGCAGAACCCCTTCTAAGACTGTGACTCCAAGGAGTTTTTATTCTTGAGCTATGTCACACTCAACTTACAGCAATTTATCTGAATTACCATTCAGGTGATCCATCCACTTTTTAGTTCCGTGGTTCCTGCTCCAGGTAAGCTGATGTCAGTTGTACTCTGTATTCCTCTGTCTCCATATTTAAAAATGGTAGTTTACCTTGTGACTGCAGTTGTCCGAAGGGTCCCAGAAAAGTTGTTGATTTTCAGTGTCTTCAGCTTTATTCCTGTTGTAAGGATAAGGTTGATGATTTCAAAACTCTTTACATGTTAGAGTTGGAACCTAGAGTACAAAGATGTTTTTATAAAAAACTTGTGACTCTATTTTGGAGTAGAAATTAGAGGAAATAACAGCAAAATATTATACCAGCCATAAGCTACAATTCCTTTTGTATTATAGATGATACATTCAGAACTTAGTTCATTGTTTTCCTGTGTATGTAAAAGAAGGTTTATAAAAAAAAAACTAATAGTATTGACAAGGTTATATGGTAATATTTTCTAATTTAAAAAGTTTTAAAAAGACCATTTTAGAACATTTTTGTTAAAAAAATAAGATGTAACAATACTAATTTATGACATACTAATATTAATGTCCCGTCATTTTCTAGAAGACAAGGACAAACTGATACATCATCAAAAGAATTTATTTAGCCAGAGTGAATACATTCTTCTTTATCCTCATTGTCTTTATGGAAACCTCCAAATGAGCAGCAGTGCACATCTATAAAGGATACATGGATGATTCAGAGAAAAAAAAGTGACCATGATTTGGTAAGAATAGAGTACTATCCTAAAGTAAAGCAAATTTCTAAAATCTTTCACCTCTAACATTTTCCAAGTATTTATTTATATGAATTAAATGTGGACTGGTGTTTCCATGAACTTACCTCTTTCTTCAGTGTAAACCATTTAGAGTCTTTGGATGCAAGTAAACACTATGAAGCATATTATTTTATTCACTTTTGCTATAAATTTACATTAGCTATTCCATTCAGTTCATCCACATTATCTGAATTAATGGCATGAGGCTCTAGTTGTTGAAGTCTGAATACTGCATCCAAAATGTATTTTATAAAAGTTTTTTTGGCTGGGTGCGGTGACTCATGCCTGTAATCCCAGCACTTTGGGAGGCTGAGGTGGGAAGATCATGAGGTCAGGAGTTCGAGATCAGCCTGGCCAACATAGTGAAACCCCGTCTCTACTAAAAATACAAAAAGTAGCTGGGTGTGTTGGCAGGTGCCTGTAGCCCCAGCTACTTGGGAGGCTGAGGCAGAAGAATTGCTTGAACCCAGGAGCAGAGGTTGCAGTGAGACAAGACTACACCACTGCACTCTTGCCTAGGCGACACAGTGAGACTCTGTCTCAAAAAAAAAAAAAAGTTTTTTTAAAATAGTGGTATGAATTGTAACCATGTTCTTTTATATTTGTCTTTGACTAAGAGTGGTGATAAAGTCTCTACCTTGCTCCTAACATTTGAAAATAAATTACTACGATGCATTTGGCAATACACATGTACACACAGACATATGGAAATAATATTTGTTTAAGATCACAAAGGATTTTATACTGCCATTTTTCATATGCTTCACAACAAAGATATTGATATTTCTAAGTTTTCTGGCAGGATGATATGCCAAGCAAGGAATGATTTAATTACACATTCAGAAATCATTCAGTTTTACATATGTGTGACAGGGGAATACAGATCAGTTGGAAAAGAAAATGCATTGTCACCAAAAATAACATTTATTTTATCATACGGATGTTATTGCTGTAGTTATCTATCAGGAATACCATGTTTGGCCCTTTAGGATTTCTTTTGTACTATAATTTCAAGAATTTGAAAGTCGTGTTCTTTCTGCATGTTACAAAGTTATTCTTTTTCATATCAAAAATTGATTCTTTTATGTGAGTTTCCCACTTCAGCATAAATTGTTTATTACTAAATGGCTTTGTAAGGTTGCAGGAATTATGCTTACCTCTTTAATATCCTTTTAAACCAAAGTGGAATGGAATCCACAGGGACCATTTAGTTACATTAGGAGACTGGAAAATTTGACTAACTTGCTATTTTTTTTACAAAAGTGTCGATAAAGGAAATTTTCTAAGGTAGCTTTGATCTTTATTAAATCTGTTTTTCTACAAAGAGCCAATTTCTAAAACAATTGCCAATGTTACTTGAAAGTAACAAGGCAAATGTGTCCTCTATTTATACTTTCTCTACACAAAAGTAGAAAAAAATGAAAAGGAAAAGTTGAACTTTTTTCTCTCATTATATAAAACTGATCATTCAGTAGTGTTGTGTGCAGTGATCTCTCTAGGAATTTGTTGAAATAAATAATCATCCTTATCTGCTACTATGGATATAATTTTGATAAAGTACCTTACCAAAACAATGTAAAAATAATTGTGACACATGTACTATCTTAAATTGCAAAGTATGCTAATAGTTGTTATAAGTCTGGAAATGCGTCTTGGAAATTCTCCTTCTAAATCATTCCCACTTCCTCAATTTCATAGCTCAGGAAGGATGGCTCTGGAAGGATACAAAAATAATAAAATAGTGCCTACAAGTCCATGTTTCCTGAATTTCAACCCCAATGCTCTTTTCAAGTCAAATATCCGTTAGCTTATCTAACTAGCCTGAGCATGGGATGGTATCCAGTTAATAGTTATCGAGTGTTTGACATGTTCAAGAAAGAGAGGAAACCTGTCACAGAGAGGGAGACATTGCCCAGACAAGCTAAGGAGCAAGTCACCAAGAACCAAAGGCAGCAAAGAACATCTTATGCAGAAGTAGAAGAATTAGCTAACTACCCACAAGGTGCAGGCTTTGTGAGTAATAGATGGGTACAATTTGAGGGGTTTCAGTTTCACTGAGTGGAGTACTCACATGATAAGTGAGAAAGGAATTGGTCGGGCCCATGGAGTGCATTCTGATAGTCTCTGAGAGGAAATAACAAGGAAAGTGAAAAATAATTGGCTGGAAAGGCAAAATGATAGCATTCTAATGATAAGTTTGACTTAGTGTTAGCAAATTTGTGAATCCTTGCCCGTAACTCTTCAGACAGTTATTCATTCCTCATTAATCTAGGGGGAATTTGGGTCTGTTTGGGCTCTGCATATCAAATATTGCTTTGGTATGTGGGCTACAGGAGCCCTGCCACTCCTGCCACACATAAACCAGAGGTTCCCATGGACAGAGTCATACTGTCTCATGCATGCACTGAAATATGGATCCCTGTATGCCTCAGAGAACCTGAGTGGAACCTGAAGCACTTGAAGCTGGATTAGCAAACAAGAAATATGCTATGAGGGATAGGGTAGAAAATAGGAGGTAAGATGATAAAATAAAGGGAATATAAGGCAAACATGCATTCAAATTCTATAGTCACTTTAAGAAGCTACACATGCAGTAAGGATGCACAGACCCTCTGTAAACCAGTCTTGTTAGCATTCTTCCTCCACTCTGACGTGGTTGCGCAAAACTGAGGTGGCTCAGCTGAAGGGCAGCAAGCTGATCAGTGAGCACCAGTGCTGATTTGCAAATGCTCTAAGTAAATGACATTTGAATACCAGTCACTGGCTTTTTCAAACAAGGTCATTTCTCATAATTAAAAATCTCCCAGGAGGGGCACGGTGGCTCACGCCTGTAATTCCAACACTTTGGGAGGCCAAGGCGGTTGGATCACTTGAGGTCAGGAGTTCCAGACCAGCCTGGCCAACATGGTGAAACCCTATCTTTACAAAAAATACAAAAAATTAGCCAAACGTGGTGGCACATGCCTGCAATCCCAGCTACTTGGGAGGCTGAGGCAGCAGAATCACTCGAACCCGGGAGGCGGAGGTTGCAGTGAGCCGAGATCACACCACTGCACTCCAGCCTGGGTGACAGAGCGAGACTCTATCTCAAAAAAAAAAAAAAAAAAAAAAAAAATAATTCATAACAGATACTACAGCTAGCAAAAGGTAAAGGAATATTAGGAACAATTTTATGCCACTAAATTTGACTACTTAGATGAAATGGACAAACTGCTCTTTAAATTTTTGAAAAACACAACTTACCAATTTGGACCCAGAGAAATAGAAAATCTGTACAGTTCAAAATTCATTAAAGGAATTGTCATTAAACGTCATGTTATAAAGACATCTTCTAGTACACAAGATTTTGCTGGTGAATTTTAACATTTGAGGGAGAAATAATACCAATCTCACATGAACTCTTTCAGTAAGTAAGTGAAAAAAAAAAAAAGTGGGAGGGGGGACATTCCCAACTTGCTTTAAGGTAAGCATATCATCGATATCAAAATCTTAGGGCTTAGAGGAAATGCAGACTAATACTCCTGATGAAATGCAAAATAACTTAAAACATCAGCAAATGCAATCCAGTAGCAATCTCAAACTTACCAATATCGCCTTAAGAGAAGAAACACACCAAAAAGAAAATCTTCACATTGAGCATCCTGAGAAGATTATTGTTTCAGGACCTCAGTGAACTTAAAGAATGGTCTGTTTCCATTTCTGTGTCAATAAACCCTGGCCATCACCCAAGTCCCTGGAAAAAAGAAACTTGGTCTGTGATTTGAAGGCATTAAAGATTCTGGTGTGAGACACACACGTTCCTGGAGGTCTTGACTTTTTCCGCTCCCTTGGAGGATTCTTTCTCCTGGCAAAAGGTCACCTGGGAGCACAGGACAGTGGTTCTTTCCTGTGTGCCTGCCTGTCCCATCCCCGTGCGCCAGGTGATCCTATCCAGGCTCAGCTTCGGCCCTGGCAAAGAGGTCACCGGGTAGAAGCACTGCTGAGAGGCACAATGAGATACTGTATTTTTTCCCAGGAGAGAAGAAAACTTTAATGTTGCAAGCGCACACGTAAGTCTGTGAGGAAACCAGAACTACCATTTCAGAAAGTGGGGGCTTTGATGGCGCTTTCACCAGCAGTGAGAAACAATCACCTGTCAGCACTACCACCACATTCTAGGAAGAGCCTCCCTCTCCTGCAGCGAGCCTGGAGCTCGCATCACAGCCCCTGGTCTCCGAGTTCACCCGGAAAACACAGGGCATGGGGAGTACTGTAGGTTCACACCACCGAAGGGCAAAACTCTTGCCTCTTTGGACAAAGGGACTGTTTAAAAGTGCGTTCCTTCGAGGACAGAGTCACTTAAGGACTTAGGCGCAGGTCAACACCCGGGAAGCTCGCAGGCTTGGCGCCAGGACTTCCAGCCCGGGGGATTTGTAGCACGCAGAGGGTGAGTTGCTGCTCCAAGGCTGAGGGTGACTGACTCTCTCGGGAGGTGGTGACTGCTGACTCTTGCGTGGTGCTGAGGATAGTAGAGTCTGCCATGGGCTACAGTGTAATGCTGGCATTTCTGCCAGAGCCAGAGCTGCATTGACAGGGGTCTACCACTCTGCAGTAAATACCACCCGAGAATTCACAGCACTGTCATAAACATAATTTCACAGAGCGAGAATTATTAAGCTTCTGATAGATAACATAAATATGAAAATCAACTGAAAAAAAAAGGGCAAAGGGGGTTTGAGTATGGAGAGTATTTCATTTCTTTGTGGATCTGACTTGGGATGTGGGCACTTGTGAGTAACACCACGGCTGCATTTTAAATTCACAGTTCTTTTGTGTAAAAGACATGTGGGCAGAATTCCATTAATTTAGTGAATATGATTAAGGTAGATGCTCAAGCCAGAGAGAAAATCAGAAAGATATTTCTCTTTGCGTTGAATGCTCTGTAATCCAGTATTATTTGATAAAGGGAATAATATCAAAGTTGAGACTCAGGTGCACACTCCTAGAGCAATTTGACATTGCCAGGACCTCCAGGTGTGATCACTGGACCCCTGTGGTTGATCAGGGTAGAGACCTGCTCTCTAACAATTGATCAGCGTTTCCTGAGTCTGACCCCAGCATTAGTCATGCACAGTAGGACCACCTTACAGTATGGCATATTTTAAGATTGGTTCTGCAATTGTAACCTCAAAGTCTAGAAAATCCTTAGTGCATTTCCTTTGAAAGATGATTTCAATATAACTATAACTTAAGAAGCTAACTTGTTGGAACTGTCATTGATGGAACGTTGAAATAAATATCCAGAGCTTAATAAAATTGCTTTCAAAATCTCTGAGAGGTTTCTCTGCTGTGAGTATTATTAAAATAAATCATATAGACATATTACACATGCCCTGTGAGCCATTTCGTCACCCCCACTCAGTCCAGATCAGAAAAGTCCATAGGAAAGATGCAATTTTTTTGACACACTAAAATATTTAAATATTGATAAATACGGCATTTGTTGAAAGTGCTCTTAGAGGTATTCTAATATAGGAGATTGCTATTTTTCATAACTTATAACATTATGATTGCAGAATGACATAAGTTTAACAGAATTATCTATATTAATTGCAACTATGCTTATTTCAATGAATAATGTGTTCAGTTTGTGTAATTCTTTTATTCCTGTTATGTTACTTTGATTATATTTATTGAAATGAAATTTTAGGGTGTTAAAATACAATATTTGGGGCTTGACTTTTTATTTCTTTATTTTTAAAATTTTTTCTAATAAGGCATTTTACAAAACTGTCAGTCTGGAAATTAAACAAATTAATAAAAGATTCTTCACACATAAGATACGAGAAGCACTGCTCTAGATCTTATTATTCCTCCATAATTTTCTCTGAGCTGTGAGATTCTGACCAAACTTGATGGTGAAAAAAAAATTGTAGTAAGGACACTGGAAACTTTCTGGCAATGCAAATTCAACAACATAAATCGTATTTTATTTTCTTCAAATAAGTAGTTTTCTCTGAAGTTTCATAATAATTCAGGTAATAGTTATTTTCTGTTTGGTTGTTTTTGTTTTTGTTTTCCTCCTTCCAAGCCCAGAAAATCCACCAATTGGAAGGGGAGGACTCTTTTCTTCCCATCCCACTCATGAGAACAGTGAAGGTAATGTCCACAGGACATGTTCCTTACAGTCCCACCTTGTTGGACCCCACTCGGTAATTTGGAGTCTTGTGATCGTGATCTGGGAAGAAAGGGCAACAGCTTTCCAGGTGAAGGTGCAGGGAAGAGTTGTCTCCTTGGAGTCCAGGATGGGAGCCTACTGCTTGCTGGGAATCTCAGCTGGTGAAAAGGATGCAGGGCAAGTAGTGGTTAAGCATGGTCATTTGAGCATCAAGGTGAAAAGCTGCTTCTAAATTGTAGGGACCAGATCCACACAGCGATCTCTCCAACATGGGTGGAAAAGGATGTTCTTGGCCACATTAATCACACCTCTCTCCAGAAATCCAGGCACCAGGAATTAAGCCAAACACCAGATGAGGGCTCCCCATGTGCTGTTAAGAACTGCAGCCTTCCTGCAGGAGCATCAGTAGACCCAAAAGGCCAGAAAACATCTTCCTGAAGCCCCAAAAAACAGAAGCCTCAACTGTCTGCCCTTTCTATATTCCTGAACTGTAGAATCTTTGAGCATAATAAAATGGCTGTTGTTTTAGCCAATTCAAGATGATTTATTATGTAGCAATAGTAACTAGGACATACCGATGTTTGTGTTAAAGTCAGAGGAGCTTTTAAAATTTTTCAGACCATTGCAGATGTTATATTTATCAATTTGCAGTAAATATCAATATATCCAGATCCGTACACATTTTACTAAATCATAATCTTTATACTAACTTTCATTTATTTGAAATGTACATATCACTAACGACACATTCCACAATATATGAATGTTGTTGAAGATTGGAGCTTTTCCTCATCCATGTTTATTATTTTAAAATTTACTGTACATTTCAAAACTCTGTATTGTTGCTTATTACCAACTTACTAAGGATAATAATTGCAGACATTTTACTTTGTGAAATTTTAATGTTTTTATATTAAAATAATACGTTTGAACAACTGTAATAAGAACTCTAGTGAAAGCATTGGTTTAAATTACTATAATATATCATAACTATAAGTAAAATAGTTCTATTTTAATTATGTCAACTGTAATAAAGGAACTGTCAAGCAGTGCAACTGTAAAAAGAGTAAGAGTTCATTTGCAAATGGAAAGCAAATAAAATAGTGCATTGCATTCCAGAACTAAATTCACATTAGAAGTATGTTGTATACATATTTAAGTGACATACTTAAAGCCTTAACATCTAAGTAGAATAAAAAAGTACTTGACTTGACATCTTTGCTTACCATCCAAAGTAATGATTTTAATATTTACTTTTTTTCTTCAAAATTGGTAGATATACATCCAGGAGTAAGTGAATGTGGTAAGGCTACAGTATTCTATTAAACTGAGTCATGTAATTAAATGTATTTTATAATACTAATGAACATATATTCCATCTTTATATAGACATATACATATGTGCATGTCTATATGTGAGAGATATATTTGTTAATTATGTCACTTCACAATAAATGCTGGACAGTTTATTTGTTTAACTATGTCCATTTAGAAGATCCAAGAAAATTTTGTTGCTGACATTAATCTGTAGATTTCTTATTTTTTAATTTTTAAGTGAGAATTGTATGTGTTAATATCAAGAGGATATTGTATTCATTCATTTAAGCCTAAAAACACTTTGCACATATCTTCCCCTTTTTAGTTAACATTCACTCTGACAGGGAAATCTTTGGATTATGATTAATCTGCTCTGAATTCTTTAGGAGAGTAGTTTTACAATAATATCTCTGAGTCATTGCTTGGTGGGGAAAGTTACTTGGTTTATGAGTATTTCTTAGGAATACACATGTTTTCTGTTTTTCTGACCAATGGGATACGTTTTTCTATTGGGACACCAATTAAAACATTGTGCTTGTCAACAAAACTCAGATTATTCTTAAAAGAGAGAAAAAATATAAGTCCAAACAACTGAGATAGAAGCTAGGGTTATCATTAGTAAAGAAACTGTAGCCACTCAATTAGCCAGAAACTAAGGATGCTTGGTAATTTTTGTGGTTGCATAGTGTCCTTTTCCCGATATTTAGACATGATTGCAGAGTGGTGTTGTTTATATCTTGTTTGGCCACAGTCACTTGTGGCCTCTGATTATTGATAATATTCTGAGGAGTATTTCTGGTCTGTAAGAAGCAGTATAACATGTTGTCAGCTGTCAAGACTTTTTTTTTTTTTTTTAACTTCTCGAGTTTTATAATTCCAAGAACATAGGACTTCACTAGTATTCAGGTGTTATACATTCTTTCCCCACCTCACCCCCAGGCCACTGTTTATTATGGATTATTAGTCAGAGAGAGTTTCATCAGATTTCATTATCTATAATTTCCCAAGTCAATCTCTGAAATAAAAGCAATTACAGTTAGAAAGTTGAAAGCTCAGAAGCATTCAGGATGTATTTGAGGAACTCAGAGTGTTGGTTGGGGGATTGAAGCAGGAATATAATGGGTAGGAGGCAGGACTAAATTGCAGCTCCCAATCAGATGGACAGAGCAGCATGTGGAGACTCACATCGTGAACTTTCACTCCAGTAACTACTGCACAAACATACCGGGAAAGCTAAGAGAATCTAAAGACCCTTTGAAGGAAGTGGATTGCTCTTGCAGGCCACTGGAGACAGCCGGAAAAACTCAGAAAGCAAAGGATGTAATCTCTTTGGAGTTCTAGGGCCCCATCCACCACCTGATCCTCCCTATGCTACTGCAGTTGATGCTGTCTTGAAAGCACCACCTCCTGGCAGGAGGCCAACCAACACAAAACTAGTGCAAGAAACAAAACTACAACTAAGGACTCTCACAGAGTCCATTTTACTTCCTTGCCACCTCCACTAGAGCAGGTGCTGCTATCCATGACTGAGAGACCTGAAGATGGTTCAAATCACAGAACTCTGTGAAGACACCCAACGGTACCAGTCCAGAGGCTGGTAGCTCAGCTGGGTGGCTGGATCCAGAAGAGACATAACAAACACTACAATTTGGCTTTCAGGAACCCACATCCCTAGGAGAAGGGGGAGAGCAACACATCAAGGAAGCACCCCATGGGACAAAAGAATCTGAACAGTAGCCCTTGAGCCCCAGATCCTCTCTCTGACATAATCTACCCAAATGAGAAAGAACCAGAAAAACAATTCTGGTAATATGACAAAACAAGGTTGTTTAACACCCAGAAAAGATCACACAAGCTCACCAGCAATGGATCCAAACCAAGAGGAAATCTCTGAATTGACAGAAAAAGAATTCAGAAGGTCAATTATTAAGCTAATCAAGGAGGCACTGGAGAAATGTGAAGTCCAACTTAATGAAATCAAAAAAATGGTACAAGATATGAAGGGGAAAATCTTTAGTGAAATAGATAGCATAAGTTAAAACAAAACCACAACTTCTGGAAATGAAGGCGACACTTAGAGAAATACAAACTGCACTAGAAAGTCTCAGCAATAGAATCAAACAAGTAGAAGGAAGAACTTCATGGCTCAAAGACAAGGTTTTTGAATTAACCCATTCCAACAAAGACAAAGAAAAAAGAATAAAATAATGAACAAACCCTCCAAGAAGTTTGGGATTATATTAAATGACCAAGCCTAAGAATAATGGGTATCCCTGAGGAAGAAGAGAAATCTACAAGTTTGGAAAACATATTTGAGGGAATAAGCAAGGAAAACTTCCCCAGCATTGCTACAGACCTAGACATCTAAATACAAGAAGCTCAAAGAACACCTGGGAAATTTATCACAAAAACATCATTGCCTAGGCAGTCATCAGGTTATCTAAAGTCAAAACAAAGGAAAGAATCTTAAGAGCTGTGAGGGAAAAGCACCAGGTAACTTGTAAAGGAAAACCTATTAGATTAACAGTAGATTTCTCAGCAGAAACCCTACAAGCTAGATGGGATGAGGGCCCTATCTTCAGCCTCCTTAAACAAAACAATTATCAGCCAAGAATTTTGTATCCAGTAAAACTAAACTTCATAAATGAAAGAAAGATAGTCTTTTATAGACAAACAAATGCTGAGAGAATTCACCACTACCAAGCCAGCACTACAAGAACTGCTAAAAGCAGCTGTAAATCCTGAAACAAATCTTCAAAATACACCAAAATAGAATCCCCTTAAAGCATAAATCTCACAGGACCTATAAAACAACAAAACAAACAAACAAATAAATAAATAAACAAGGTGTTCAGAAAAACAAATAGCATGATGAATAGAATAGTACCTCACATCTCAATACCAACATTGAATGTAAATGCTCCACTTAAAAGATACAGAATGGCAGAATGGATAAGAATTCACCAATCACGTATCTGCTGTCTTCAAGAGACTTATTTCACACATAAGGACTCACATAAACTGAAGGTGAAGGGGTGAAAAAAGATATTCCATGCAAATGGACACCAAAAGCAAGCAGGAGTAGCTATTCTTATATCAGAACAAACAAACTTTAAAGCAGCAGCAGTTTAAAAAGACAAAGAAGGACATTATATAATGATAAAGAACTTGTTCAACAGGAAAATATCACAATCCTAAATATATATGCACCTAATGCTGGAGCTCCCAAATTTATAAAACAATTATGATTAGACCTAAGAAATGAGATACACAGCAATACAATAATAGTGGGGGACATTTCAATACAATACTGACAGCACTAGACAGGTTATCAAGACAGAAAGTCAACAAAGAAACAATGGATTTAAACTATACCCTAGAACAAATAGACTTAACAGATATTTACAGAACATTAAACCCAACAATGACAGAATATACATTCTATTCATCAGCACATGGAGCATTCTCTAAGATAGACCATATGATAAGCCACAGAACAATCTCAACAAATTTAAGAAAATTGAAGTTATATCAAGTACTCTTTCAGACCATAATGCAATAAAATTGGAAATCAACTCCAAAAGGAACCCTGAAAACTATGCAAATACATGGAAATTAAATAACCTGCTCCTGAATAACCACTGGGTCAACAATGAAATCAAGATGAAAATGTAAAAATTATTTGAACTGAATTATCATATTGATACAACCTATCAAAACCTCTGGGATACAGCAAAGGTGGTGTTAAGAAGAAAGTTCACAGCCTTAAATGCCTACATCCAAAAATCTGAAAGAGCACAAATAACACAAATAGACAATCACACCTCAAGGAACTAGAGAAACAAGAATAAACCAAACCCAAATCCAGCAGAAGGAAAGAAATAACAAGGATCAGAGCGGAACTAAATAAAATTGAAACAAACAAAAAAATATAAAAGATAAATGAAACAAAAAGCTGGTTCTTTGAAAAGATAAACAAAATTGATAGACCTTTAGTGAGATTAACCAAGAAAAGAAGAAAAAGGACTGAAATAAGCTCAACTAGAAATGAAACAGGAAATATTACAACTGATACCACAGAAATACAAAGGATGCTTCAAGGCTGCTACGAACACCTTTATGCACATAAACTAGAAAACCTAGAGGAGATAGATAAATTCCTGGAAATATACGACCCTCCTAGATTAAACCAGGAAGAAATAGAGACTCTGAACTGACCAATAACAAGGAACAAGATTGAAATTAAAAAAAAATTGCTAACCAAAAATCCTCTAGGACCAGACAAATTCACAGCTGAATTCTATCAGACATTCAAAGAATTGGCACCAATCCTGTTGACATTATTCAACAAGATAGAGACAGGGAACCCTCCCTAAACCATTCTATGAAGCCAGTATCACCTTAATACCAAACCAGGAAAGGACATAATCAAAAAATAAAACACAAACCAATATCCCTGATGAATATAGATGCAAAAATCCTTAACAAAATACTAGCTAACCGAATCCAACAGCATATTTAAAAGATAATCCACCATGATCAAGTGGGCCTCATATCAGGGACGCAGGGATGGTTTAATGTTCACAAGTCAATAAATGTGATATATCGCATAAACAGGATTAAAAACAAAAATCACATGATCATCTCGATAGATGCAGAAAAACATTTGACCAAATCCAGCATCCCTTTATGACTAAAACCCTCAGCAAAATCAGCATAGAAGGAACATACCATAATGTGATAATCTATGACAAACACACAGTAAACATAATACGGAATGGGGAAAAGCTGAAAGCATTCCCCCTGAGAACTGAGACAAGGCAAGGATGGCCACTCTCACCACTTCTATTTGACATAGTACTGGAAGTCCTAGCCAGAGCAAGCAGACAAAAGAAAGAAATAAAGGGCATCCAAATCAGCAAAGAGAAGGTCAAACTTTCACTGTTTTCTGATTATATGATCGTATACCTAGAAAACCCTAAAGACTCATCCAAAAAGCTCCTAGAACTCATAAATGCATTCAACAAAGTTTCAGGATACAATATTAATGTACACAAATCAGTAGCTCTGCTATATACCAACAGTGACCAAAGTGTATTAGTCTGTTTACATACTGCTATAACAAACTGCCTGAGACTGGGCAATTTATAAATGAAAGAGGTTTAATTGACTCACAGTTCAGCATGGTTGGGAATGCCTTAGGAAACTTACTATCATGGCAGAAGGCAAAGTGGAAGCAAGGCACCTTTTTCACAAGGTGGCAAGAAGAAGTGCCCAGCGAAGGGGGAAAATACCCCTTATAAAATGATCAGATCTCATGAGAACTCACTCACTATCATGAGAACAGCATTGGGGAAACTACCCTCATGATTCAATTACTTCCCTTAGCACATGGGGATTATGGGGATTACAAATCAAGATGAGATTTGAGTGGGGACACAAAGCCTAACCATATAACAAGCTGAGAATCAAATCAAGAACTCAACCCTTTTTACACTAGCTGCAAAAAAATTTAAATAAAATATTAGGAATATACCTAACTAAGGAAGTGAAAGGCCTCTACAAGGAAAAGTACAAAACACTGCTGAAAGAAATCATAGATGACACAAACAAATGGAAACACACATGGATGTGCAGAATCATGAATTTCAGAATTTCATCTCATGGATGAGTAGAATCAATATGGTGAAAATGACCATACTGCCAAAAGCAATCTACAAAACCAATGCAATTCCCATCAAAATACCATCATCATTCTTCACAGAACTAGAAAAAACAATCCTAAACATTCATATGGAACCAAAAAAAAGAGCCCACATAGCCAAAGCAAGACTAAGCAAAAAGAACAAATCTGGAGCCATCACATTACCTATACTATAATATAATACAGTATAGTATATTCAAACTATCCTATAAGGCCATGGTCACCAAAACAGCATGGTACTAGTATAAAAATAGGCACAGAGACAAATGGAAAATAATAGAGAACCCAGAAATAAAGCCAAATTCATACAGCCAACTGATCTTTGACAAAGCAAACAAAAACATAAAGCGGGGAAAGGACACCCTATTGAACATATGGTACTGGGATGATTGGCAAGCCACATGTAGGGGAATGAAACTGGATCCTCATCTCTCACCTTATACAAAAATCAACTCAGGATGGATCAAGGACTTAAATCTAAGACGTGAAACCATAAAAATTCTAGACGATAACATCGGAAAAACCCTTCTAAACATTGGCTTAGGCAAAGACTTCATGACTGAGAACCCAAAAGCAATGCAACAAAAACAAAGATAAATAGATGGGATTTAATTAAACTAAAAAGCCTCTGCACAGAAAAAGAAACATTCAGCAGAGTAAACAAACAATGCACAGAATGGGAGGAAATCTTTGCAATCTATACACCTGACAAAGGACTGCTATGCAGAATCTACAAGAAACTCAAACAAATCAGCAAGAAAAATACAAACAATCCTATCAAAAAGTGGGCTAAGGATATAAATAGGCAATTCTCCAAAGAAGATATACAAATGATCAACAAACATATGAAAAAATGCTCAACATCACTAATGATCAGGGAAATGCAAATCAAAACCACAACGCAATACCATCTTAGTCCTGCAAGAATGGCCATAATCAAAATATCAAAAAATAATAGACGTTGGTGAGGATGCAGTGAAAAGGGAACACTTTTACATTGCTGATAGGAATGTAAACTAGTACAACCACAATGCAAAACTATAGAGATTCCATAAAGAACTAAAAGTAGAACTACCATTTGATCCAGCAGTCCCCACAACTGGGTGTCTACCCAAAGGAAAAGAAGTCATTATATGAATAAGATCCTTGCACACTCATGTTTATGGCAACACAATTCATAATTGCAAAAATATGGAACCAGCCCAAGTGCCCAGTAATGAACAACTGGATAAAGAAACTGTGGCATATGTATATATACATACCATGGAATACTACTCAGCCATAAATAGGAATGAAATAATGGCATTTGCAACAGCCAGGATGGAACTGGAGATCATTATTCTAAGTGAAGTAACTCAGGAATGGAAAACCAAACATTGTGTGTTGTCACTTATAAACGAGAGCTAAGATATGAGGATACAAAGGCATAAGAAGGATACAATGGGCTTTGGGGACTTGGGGAAAATGGTGGGAGGGGGGTGAGGGATAAAATACTACACACTGGGTACAGTGTACACTGCTTAGAGGATGGGTGCACCAAAATCTCAGGAATCACCGCTAAAGAACTTACTCATGTAAGCAAACACCACTCTTCCCCAAAAACCTATTAAAATTTTTTTAAAAAACAAAAAAAGTATTTGCATAATTCATTTGCAATAGAAAGTGATAAGCCATGTAAGATCTATTTGCTGCAAATTGAAATACATATTGCTTCAGCAAAGTTACTTAACTGGGTAAAATACTACCTGCAAATCTAAAGACACGGAAAAGTGTTCTAATATATACTAGATATATTATATCTAGTATATATTTATCAAGTGATATTTGATGGGCCAATAAGCTAAAAAGTTGGAATTAGTTCCTAGATGAGAAATATAAATTTAGAAGCTTTTTAAACACAGCGTCTACATGTATTTCTCAGAATCTAATATCGTTAATTTATACTTGTTTTCTGGAAACTACCTACATATTGTAAGTGGCATTTAGTTTGTGATTATAATTTTTAAGATAATTTCACCCTACACTTTTTTTTTTGCTTAATTTGCTTTTCTGAAAGTTAATAATAAGAGCTTATATGTGTCAAGCACTTAAATATTACAAAAGTCATTTCATTTGAAACTCACAAATAATATGCAGAAGATATATTTACTATAGTCATTTTGATAAGGAGGAACAGAAAAAAAAATTGGTCGAGGTAGTACAATAGAAGGAGCTAAAGACTGGAAACTACCATGGATTTGCCATGTGGTTTATAATTATGTTATACTCCCTGCTAGAAGGCAGGAAAGAATTTGCAGAAGACAATATATGTAAAAGGAATTGGCAAACTGTGATTATTGTATTATTTTGAAACATTAAGGAAAATGATAAGCAGCAAGATCGCAAGTTTCCACAGGTCTTTTCTGTTTCTTACTCAGATTGTGTGACATAAGCACAGTGCCATATCAAGGGCCATATATATCAATCATGGCTCAAAGAATGAAATGAAATTCAAATGTACAGTAGAAAATTTTTAAAATGACTGTTACTTGACTGACTAGCTTCTTAATAAGTACTTGCCATTCTTCTGTAAAACACTGTGGCTGTTGCTCGTAACAAGCTCAGTACTAAAACTAGGTATGCATGTCCCTATGAACATCCACCCCATTACACAACCATCTTCCAGTTCATCTTTTGTCTGAGACTAGGGTTTTACTTATTAATAATACAAAAATCCACATAGATTCAGGCTCAGTAAGACGTAATCCATTTTGATTACATTTCTTCTTTCCTTGCTAACACTTTAAACAATAGAATAACCTGCTTGGTGAAACAATTTAAAGCACCAAGAGAGATTCTGTAATGCCTTTTAAGATAGATTTTGAGATTACTGCCTTGTTGAAAAAGACTTTCAGTGAGAATCATGGTTTATTTTCCACTGTAGATATTTGAAAAGTTTTAGAAGTTGAATTTTTCACTAGAATATTTGTTCTATTAGAAAGGATCCTTGTCTATTCTGTTCACTGTTGGCTCCCTACTACATATCATAACACAGCCTTGTGATAAGAATTTGTTGAATAAATAAATACATTCTAAGTATCCTTCACTGTCATCATGCATTTCTTTTTAAGGGATAAGCCTTCAAATGAAATAATGCCTCTAAGGAAGTTCTATAACCACAGAAAGAAAGATTCAGATTCTCATTAAATTCACATTTTAAATTTTGAAAATATTTACAAACATATGTATCTGATAGCAGACGACAGAACATTATTCTGATAGTTTGATCTATTAAGTTCTTACAATTGTAATTAAATTTTCTTGGATAACTTCTAAGGTGCAGAAGGATTATTGAGTCTTGCTGACTGCTGATTTCTTTGTTTTGCATTTTCTCTAATCTTAGGAGAAAATAAGGATTTTTTCCTTTTTGCCATGTCAGAAGATTGATTTCCACATAAGTTTTAGGACTTCCCTTGAGTGAAGAGGCTATTAACTCTAAAATAGTATCGAAAGAAGATTCCTGGAAGCAGAAAGGTGATTTAATTTTCACTTAGGTAGGTATCTTAGTCTTTTAAGAAAAGCCTCTCATTAGAATTATATTAGTTTTAAAATCTTTATCCTGGACCTTTCTGTTAGTTAGGTCTTAAGCAGGTTTTGACCTTCCTTTTTATTTGAAACATTAAAGATAGCAAAATCACAGCTTTGATTAGAAAAATTTTAATTGGTAAGGTAATGCTAACTCTGGAAGCAAACACCAAAATAATTGTACTTGGGGAAAATATGGATAGAAGTTTATTTTTCAAAAAAACTTGAATACTGACAATATTCCTTCTCTTAAAATTGCTGTCTTCTAAGTAGGAATTCAAGGACTCAGTCACCTTCTGTCACGTAGCATGCAAAAAACTTACCTACCTATTCCTAGTTTGCCAAGAATTTTTTTAATCATGAAAGAGTGTTGGATTTTGTCAAATGCATTTTCGGTATGCGGTTTTTGTACTTTATTGTATTAATCCTTTGTATTTTATTGATAGATTTTCATATGTGGGACCAGCCTTGCATTCCTGGGATGTATCCCACTTCGTCATGGTGTATCCATTTCTATATGTTGCTGGATTTGTGTTGTTTATATTTTTGTGTCTATATTCATAAGACATATTGTTCTGAAATTTTATTTTTGTAATGTTTTTTATTTTGGTACTAGGGTAATACTGATCTTATAGAATCAATTGGGAAGCATTTCTTCCTCCTCCATATTTTGGAGGAGTTTGTGAATAATTGATAAATTCTTAACTATTTACATATTTGGTAGAAGTCACCATTGAAGACCTCAGTGCCTGATCTTTTTTATGTGGAAAGTTTTTTTAAATTAATCACTTTACTTGTTATATGTTAATTCAGATATTTCTATTTCTCTCTGAGTTTGTTTCAACAATTGGTGTTATTTTAAGTTTGCCAATTTGTTGATATAAACTTCTTGTTCATACTATGCCCTTAAAATCCTTTATTTCTATAAGTTCTGTACTACTGTCCCTTTATTCCTGATTTTAATATTTTGAGTATTCTCTTTTCTCCTTCTTTCTAGCTAAAGGGTTGTTACCTCTGTTGATCTTTTCACAGAAACAATTTTGATTTTGATGATTTTCTCTATTGTTTTTCTATTCTCTGTTTCATTTACTTTATTCTCTATTCTTTATTATCTATTTTTATTCTTTAATCTTTATTATTTCCTTCCTTCCGCTTGCTTTGGTTTTATATTTTCTTATTTATTTAGTTTCTTAAGGTGAATGCTTAATTTGTTTGAGATCTTCCTCTTTTAAAACATATGTAGTAATTTATAGCTATAAATGTCTCTCTAAGCACTACTTCAGCTATACCTTAGAAGATTTGGTATGTTGTATCTTTATCACTTCCATTAATAACAAAATATTCTAAACGTTTTCCTTGAGATGCCACTTCACGTCCACTGGGATGGCTATAATAAAGAAGATATATACAGTTGACCCTCAGACAACACAGGCTTGAGCTGTGTGGGTCCACTTATTTGCAGATTTTCTACCACATCTGCCATACCTGAGACAGTAAGACTAATCCTTCCTCCTTCTCCCCCTCCTCAGCCCATTCAACATGAAGACAATGAGGATGGAGATCTTTATGATGATCTACTTCCACTTAATGAGTAATAAATATATTTTCTCTTCCTTATGATTTTTTTAGATAACATTTTCGCTTCTCTAGCTTACTTTATTGTAAGAATATGGTTGCAATCCTAGTATCTGATAAAACAGACTTTAAACCAACAAAGATCAAAAGAGACAAAGAAGGCCGTTACATAACGGTAAAGGGATCAATTCAACAAGAAGAGCTAACTATCCTAAATATATATGCATCCAATACAGGAGCACCCAGATTCATAAAGCAAGTCCTGAGTGACCTACAAGGAGACTTAGACTCCCACACAATGATAATGGGAGACTTTAACACCCCACTGTCAACATTAGACAGATCAACGAGACAGAAAGTTAACAAGGATACCCAGGAATTGAACTCAGCTCTGCACCAAGCGGACCTAATAGACATCTATAGAACTCTTCACCCAAAATCAACAGAATATACACTTTTTTCAGCACCACACCACACCTATTCCAAAATTGACCACATACTTGGAAGTAAAGCTCTCCTCAGAAAATGTAAAAGAACAGAAATTATAACAAACTGTCTCTCAGACCACAGTGCAATCAAACTAGAACTCAGGATTAAGAAACTCACTCAAAACCACTCAACTACATGGAAACTGAACAACCTGCTCCTGAATGACTACTGGGTACTAACGAAATGAAGGCAGAAATAAACATGTTCTTTGAAACCAACGAGAACAAAGACACAACATACCAGAATCTCTGGGACACATTCAAAGCAGTGTGTAGAGGGAAATTTATAGCACCAAATGCCCACAAGAGAAAGCAGGAAAGATCCAAAATTGACACCCTCACATCACAATTAAAAGAACTAGAAAAGCAAGAGCAAACACATTCATAAGCTAGCAGAAGGCAAGAAATAACTAAAATCAGAGCAGAACTGAAGGAAATAGAGACACAAAAAACCCTTCAAGAATATATAATACATAAAAATATGTGTTAATTGACTGTGTTATTGGCAAGGCTTTTGGTCAACAGTAGGCTTTTAGTAGTTAAGTTCCAAGGGAGTCAAAAGTTATATGTGAATTTTCAACTGCACAGGGGGTGGCACCCCTAACCCCCACATTGTTCAAGTGTCAACTGTATTAACAAGTGTTGCTGAAGACATGGAGAAACTAGAATCCATATCTTGCTAGTGGGAATATACAATGCCATAGTCAATTTGGAAAACAGTTTGAAGAGTTCCTCAAAATGTTAAACATAGGCAGGTGCACTGGCTCATGCCTGTAATCCCAGCACTTTGGGAGGACAAGGCAGGAGGATTACTTGAGGCCAGAAGTTTGAGACCAGTCTGGGAAACATAGGAAGTCCTCATCTCTACAAAAATGTAAATAAATATTATCTGGGCATGGTGGTGCATACCTGCAGTCCAAGCTACTTGAGAGGCTGTGATAGGACAATAGCTTGAGCCCAGGAGTTGGAGGCTGCAGAGGGCCATGATTGCACCACTGCACTCTACCCTGGCGATAGAGTGGGACTGTCTCTGAAAATAAAAAAATAAAAAGATTAAACATAGAATTACCACCATATGATACAGCAATTCAATTCTAAGGTACAGATTCAAGAGTATTGAAAACACACATCCACACAAAAACTTGTACACAAGTTTTCATAGCACTATTAATCATAATAGCCCATAGTGAAAACAACCGAAAAATCTATTAAGTGGAAAATGGGAAAACAAATGTAGTATATCTTTAAAATGGAGTATTATTCAGCCATTAGAAGGAATGAAGTATTGATTCATTCTACAACATGGTTGAATCTTGAAAACATAATGCTATGTGAAAGAAGTCAGCCAGAAAAAGCCAGATACTATATTATTATATTTGTATGAAATATCAAGGATAGGTAAATCAATAGATAGAAAGTAGATCAGTGATTGCCAAGGGCTGAGGAGGAGGGCGAATGGGAATGACTGCTAATGGGTACAAGGTTTCTTTTGAGGTGATAAAAATATGCTGGAATTAGATAGTGGTGATGACTGCATAATTTTATCAATATACTAAAAACAACAAAATTATATGAGAAAAATAAAACATCTGCATTTTGACTTCGGAGGAAAAATGAACGTGGAGATTCACATGCAAGAGGTATTTAATGAGCCAAGTCTGTAGATGATGCAAGACTCCAGCTCACACTCCATTGACTAGAACAAAGTCACATGGCCATCTCTAATATCAAAGAGTGCTAGGAAATGCAGTTGGGTTCATGAACAGGAAAAAAGAATTAGGTTTTATAAAAGACCTGTCGGCTGGGCCCGGTGGCTCACACCAGTAATCCTAGCACTCTGGGAGGCCGGGGCAGGTAGATCACCTGAGGTCAGGAGTTCGAGACCAGCCTGGCAAACATGCTGAAACCCTATATCTACTAAAAATACAAAAATTAGCCGGGTATGGTGGTGTGAGCCTGTAATCCCAGCTTCTCGGGAGGCTGAGGCAGGAGAATCGCTTGAACCTGGGAGGCAGAGGTTGCAGTGAGCTGAAATTGTGCCATTGCACTCCAGCCTGAATGACAAGAGCTAAACTCAGTACCCCCTCTCCCACCGCAAAAAAAAAAAAAACCCTGTCATTTTAGTGAGTCTCTGTCATAAGAATCAAACATTTCCTAATATTCCTACCAATTTTCCCAGACTGTTAGCTCCACAGTATCAAAAGTAAAAGTGGTTTTTGTTCACAGAGAATAATATGACTGGGACTCTATCTCATTTTCTATCTCTCAGCTCTTATTCTACCTGTTGCCTTCATTCTCAAAAAGGTTTTTTCTAAGCAGCCAGAAAGATGATCCTCTTAGTCTCCAGCCTGTACTTTCCTTACAATCTCTTTCCCTGGGTCACAAAATATACCCACTCACAAAATATTCCCATCACTGAGATAATCATGGTGATCTATAGGCAATATACAGGCTGGACATGAATGTATATCCTTTTTTCATGTGGTAAAGGGGGAGCAAATCAGCTGAACCACATAGAAACAATTTACCACAGAAAAGAGGGATTCATTTACTAGAATCAGAAGGAAAGAGATTCTGGAGAATCAAAGACATCCAATGCCCAGTACATGGAAATCTGAATGGACTGTCCTGCCAGGATGAACACTGATTGAGTTTATTTCAGAGTCACAATAAAAAAATAAGCAATAAAGAAGAGCAGTTAATTTGGACTAGATTGTGGAAGAGCTTGGGAATAATCATGCTTATATTTTGCACTACTTTTTAAAGGAGTAATAACTGTGTGTGATCTAGTTTTGCTCTGTGTCCCCACCCAAATCTCATCTCGAATTATAATCTCTATATGTCAAGGGAGGAAGCTTGTGGGAGGTGATTGGATCATGGGGGCCATTTCCCCCATGCTGTTCCCATGATAGTGAGTTCGTTCTCATCAGATCTCATGGTTTAAGTGTTTGGCAGTTCCCCTCTCCCTCGCTGTCTTTCCTGCCACCATGTACGATGTATGTTCCTTCCCTTTTGCCTTCTGCCATTACTGTAAGTTTCCTGAGAAAACTTTCAATTGACTTACAATTCCATAGTCACATGGAACTGTGAGTCAATTAAACCTTTTTTCTTTAAAAATTTCCCAGTCTCAGGTAGTTCTTTATAGCAGTGTGAGAATGAACTAACACAGTGTGCAAAGCCTACAACGGGCAGATTCACACAGCAGTGGAAGCAGAATAGACAGCAACAAGGACCAGTGAGAGAGGATGAGCAGATGTGTCAGGGGGCTACTGCAGAAGTCTAGGGCTGAAGTAACAATGCCTGAGAAGAGCTCATGGATCTACAAATAAAGCTACAAAAACATATGTGAGATGTTGCAAAAGAAAAATCAACATGACTTTTTAATGTTTAGATAAAAGAATGAAATAAGAAAAAATATTGGTAGGGAGACTTTGAGAAAAGTAATCAGAACTAGGTTGAACTGGTTGAACTGAGTTATGGGGTGGGGAATTTTTAACTTTCCCCCTTTTTATTTGGCACCTGAATGTTACTGTGATGTTACAAAATGAAGGGCCATTGTAGATGCATGGGAAATTTTTATTTTTTATAATTTCAGTGAATAGCTCTAGGATATTCCTGTTACATCCAGCCATTCCACATATATACACCTTCTGAAACTCCTGGCTTGTTTTATATGTGAATTTTTTGTAACTTGGTAAATTCAAACTCTGAGATACAAGCAATCTGGAAAGTCAGGCAATATTAGCAATATCCAAAAATCACTTAAGACTCTGAGGGAAAAATATCAAAAGCCCTGGCATATTTTGGAATGTGGATTTATAGACTTACTAAAAAAAAGGAGTCTTGATAAGATTTATTATACATATATATGATTTATATGATATAAATATTAAACAATGTTAGATCATATGTAACTACAACAACAGCAAGACAAAAAGCATTAAAATAAAACAAAACTTCGTTTGGTAAGAGAAAGTACAGACCAAAAAGTATACCTAATTTAGGCCATGCTCTACCCTGGGATGGGTCCTTCCTACCTTCAGGCCAATGTTGCAAATGCTGAGCCAGTCATGGCATCCCGACAGGACAGAAACTCCTTCCACGTAGGTGCTATTCAGTTTCTCATGCAGCAGATGAGAAAACTGAGGCTAGATAAGTGAGGTCACTACTGAGGATGACCTATCTCAGGAAGGAGCAATGCTGGCCTGGGGCAGGTGAGGTTGAGAAAACTGAGGCTAGATAAGTGAGGTCACTACTGAGGATGACCTATCTCAGGAAGGAGCAATGCTGGCCTGGGGCAGGTGAGGTCACTTCTGGAGCTTGACCCAGCTCTGGAGGAAGCAGGCCCTGACATGACTCCCAAATCGGCCAAGCAAATGCTGATCCAGTGGTTTCCCTTCCTTTCTTCCCTCACTCTCCACCTGTTTGGGGCCTTAAATCATCACCTTTTCTCACACTTAGCTCCTCAGGATCTCCCTAGCATCAGAAAGAACCCTGAGCCCAGGGTCCATCTCTTCTTACTCCAAAGTCACAATCAAAGAATCACATGATAAGCCTTGAGATTACGATTCTGAAAGCACCTCCTGAGCTCAGAAGGCAGAGAGGGTCTGTTCATCAGTGAACAGAACAGAGCCCACAGGGGAAGAGCCCGTAACCTGCAGCCCACACTCCAGTAACCAGAGCTTGATCAAGGAAGCTACAAGGAGTGGATGAGATTGGGGGCCACAGCTAAACTCCCAGATCCAACCTTTGCATAGTACCAAGGACAAAGCCCAGAAAAATAAGCTGACACCCTAAAACCCAGGAGTCAGGAGTCAGTGTCAAGCCAGTGCCCACAGCCAGAAGGCTGAGCCTGAAGCAGAGTCAGTGACCAATACAAAGGATCCCACATGCAGAGCCTGACCTCTCCCTCCTGGGAACCAAGATCAGAGTCCAAGAATAATGCAGGGTCCATCCCAGAGGTGGCGAGCGGGATATCCTGTTACCACAGACATATGGGACAGAGAATCTCCTTGGGTCTGTACGAAGCAAAGTCACGTTCACAGTTTCCCCTCCCATGGTCAGTGGCTTTGGGCCGTGGGTTCTAGGAGCTGGGAGATGCCCTGAATTGTTAACAGTTGACTCCTTCTTGCTCTGTCATTCCTGGCCTTCTGCTAGTACCTGTTCTGTGCTAGGGCTGTACTGGGTGGGCTCGGTGATGAGCAGCATTCAGCCCTGTGCTGAGAAGTTCACAGTTTGGTAGAGTGAGACCTCATCACTAGATGAAAACATCCATAGGTTTTCCCAGCAGCCCTCTTGGTGGATACTCACAACCGAACCTAGCATAAGTCTCCACAGAACTCGCCTCTTCTGTTGTGTCCACACAGAAGCCCAGGGAGTGATCTGAGGAAAGCTGGTCGACTGATAGCTACTGGCTGGGCCCTGTAAAGGAAGTTTAATCCTCTGGACTCCATCCAGGAGTCACTTGATTGGCCAGGAGGGAACTTCCCTCCCTGGCCGATCTGATAGGAACAGGGTGAGGTCTCATGCTGCCTCCATCTCAGGCCACCCTGCTCCTCTATGCCCCCACTGTCAGACCCAGTCCTGCTTGTCCTCATAGGCCCAGCTCAGCCCTGCATCCATGAGGAATCCTTACTATGAATGATGACCAAGCTGAGCACATGCTGGGGCCCATCCTTAACACGTCACCTTTGTTGTAACATTCCAAGAACCCTGAGAGGCAATTCCTATGTTAAGGAAGCCATTTTACTGGAGAGAATCTTGGGGCCCAGTAAAGGAGTATCACCGACTCCAGGTGACCCAGCCTGAAAGTTCGACAGCCCAGTGCAAATGTCAGTAGGTCCCACCCACAGTGTACTCATTCAGAACAGCTTCCTTGACAACCCTAACCTTTTCCTCTAATCAGAAATACTTCAGCCACTGCCCAAGGTCCTGGGACTGCTCAAGCTGGTCCATCAAACTATAAGGCAGGAGTCAAGACCTGGGAGCCTAGCAACTTCTTCCTCTCCCAAAGGCAAAGTTTCTCTACTGTCTTCCCAGTTCCTGTATCATTTCTGAGGACGAGGTTGATCTGCCTCACATGAGCATGTAGGCACCACTAAATCACATCACACTCTGTCACCTGGCTTCCAGACACCCCGGTGTTCAAATGACAGGTCTCAGCACTTGCAGCCTGAGACAGCATTGTGAAGTGGGGGTGCCACTGGGGCAGTCCCACAAAGCCAGATGAAGAGCCTGGTGACCCTAAGGGTCTGGTCCCCCTTGTAAGGAAGGCAAAGCTGAGGAATCACAGCCAGAGCTACCTTCCTGTGGCTTTCACAGCTGAGCCTCATCCAGCCCCACTCAGGACCCTGCAAAGCCAGAGCATCCAGGGCACCAGACCTGCATGGGATCAGAGTTCTCTGGGCCCTGCTGGAGTCATCACTACACACACTTCTCCCTCTAGTGAATTCTGGGGGTTAAGCCATTGCTATGTACTGAATGTTTGTGTCTGCCTAAAATTCATATGTTGAAGCCTAAATTCCCAAGGTGATAGTATTAGGAGATGGGGCCTTTGGCAAGTAATTAGATCATAAGGGTGGAGCCCTGAACAAGGGGATTAGTGCCCTTATAAGAAGAGACAAGAAAGAGATAATCTCTTTCTGTCTCCACTATATGAGGATACAATGACAAAATGGCCTTCTGCAAACCAAGAGCAGTGCCCTTACCAAACATCAGACTGCCAGTGCCTTGTTTTTATACTTCCCAGCCCCAAGAACTGTGAGAAATAATTGTCTGTTGTTTAAGTCACCCAGTCCGTGTTTTTCTGTTATAGCAGCCCAGACTGACTAGGACAGCCATTCTCTAAATCAACTAAAATGTATTGAGACAAACACCTTTCTTCTTTCTGAAAGGTAAAGTGAAGGTACAGGACATCCTGGAAGCTGAGCAGAGGGGCATGGAGCCGTTCCATCCCAGACGAAGCGGCATCCCATGCCTATGGGCTGAGAAGCAAATGCTCCCAGCCAAATGTTCCATCACAATCAACAAATACAAGAGGATCCACTGCCAGAAGCTGGAGTTGAATTTATCTTTCCCTTATTCTTTACCTCAGATCTGCAACCTCCTGTCTGGTGAGGATGAGATTTTGTTCAGCCTCCCAAGCTCTCAACCAATTACCATTAACTTTTAGTTCTAAGGACAGAATCTGTCCCTGAGAAGAAGAAATGGTATTTCCAGCTTTTCTTTGATATCTTACAATCTATTCTGTAGATCTCTAGTTCATTTTTACGACTCACCAGGTCTTTGGCTTCAAAACTTCCCACCTCTTTCTGTTAGTCATAATCTACCCTGACAGGTAATAACTGAGACACAGACTCCATTTCTTTCTGCTGATAGAGTTCACTCATTTCATTTCCTCTCTCCTCTAAGATGCGGATCTGACCTTTTCATTCAGCTTCTTCAGTTTGAGCCCCTTTCAGAGGACTTGTCCGTTCAGCTTTTCTGTACTCTTCTTCAGCAACGTTGGCATAGATTGAATTTTCCTCTATTTTCAATGTTTAAACGTCCAACTTCCCTACAAAACCCTTCAGTTTCCTCTAGGATCCTTTTGCCTAGTTTCAACATGATCTCCATTCTCTGATTGGACATTATCACCAATGTTCTCCTCTCCCAGGGAGGCTGCCAGTTCTTCGGTTTTGCGCTAACAATCCTGCAGAAACTTGAACTTACTCTTCACACAAGTGCTGGATCTCTGTATGGAAATGATGAGAATTTTTTCAGTTTTCTGTGATAGGTTCAAGCATGTGTGTCTTGGCATCTTCCACTTGTGTTGTGATGAATTAGATTTCTTTTTCTAGAGCCTGTATCTTTCTTTTAGGATCAGACACTGATTGTCCTTGGTCTGAACATTGAGGCTTCTCTTATCCCATGGTTGACTAGGATGCGAATGCAATTCTATATTATTCACAGAGCTCAATTTGCCCAGAATACCAAGCACTTCTGGATTTTCATATTCTCTGATCATAGGTTGACATTTCATGTGTTACAGAGTGGTTGCCAGTCCTCAAGAGTTTACCTCTGGTGGAGGAACACGAAATACTCACAAATCATCCACCATTCTGAGATATGTGTGTCCTGTAGTAGGGGAAAGAAACCATGAGAAAGAAGAAGGTATAGCATCCCAGGCAGTGGGCCAGACTGCACTGAGGCAGAAGCAGGAACAGAGTTTGCCATGTTGAAGAAGTGAAAGAACAAAGGCAGAGCAGTAGGCCTGGGAAGGCGGAAGCGGAGGTTTTCTGCAAGAAAAGGATGTGAGGGGAGTTTAGGAACTCACAGTGGACCAGTCACACTCTAGTGATGACATAAAAAGGCAGATGTTGTCAGTTGGAGCCATGGTCACACAGAATATTGATTGGACTGAGGAGCAAATAATGGCTTTAAAGGCTAGCAGACTTTGGGTTGTATTTGCAGTTCTTCCCTCATCTGAGAAATGGGGACATTTACTCTGACACCCACAGGATGCCTGGAGAGATTAAATGCCATACAGTCTGTAAAGTGCTTGGGTCTGACCCTGCACCCCACATCACAGGGGGATATCCAGTGCTAAGATTCATACAGATTCTGCAGGTCTTAAGCACTTTTGGTTAGCCTTGGTGGGTTTTTTCAAACCTTTAAATATTAATCTTCCCCAAATTTATCTTCCTTCCAGGCCCCCACAGGGTCCAGCCCTCCTTCTGTGATTTCTTCAAACTGACACCCTGGAGGCTGTTGATGAGAGGACACCCTCTGGTGAGGAGACACTGGGTTCACAGTCCAAAGGCAGAGTACCAGTCATACTCAAGGTGAAGAAAAATTGCACACAGTAGGCCCGAGACTATTATTTTTAGAGGCCTACTTGCAAGGTTGGCCTTTGGCTGAAGTCTGGGAGCTTGTATTTCTCAAGAGTTCCCACCATTCCCAGAACTTACAAGAGTGGCTCACTGTACCTAAACTGTTATACAAACAATATGATTTATGCTAAACACCTCTTTTCCTTCTAGGAGTCCGGAATTTTGGTGCATGCTAGGCAGAAAGTGACCAACATCCAATAAAAACTTTGGACACTCAGTCTCTAATGAGCTTCACTCGTACATAATATTACACATATGTTGTCAGAGTCTGTTGCTGGAGGAATTAAGCATACCCTCTGTGGTTCCACTGAAAGAGGACTCTTGGAAGCTTGCAATTGGTTTCCTCCAGACTTCACCTCCTGCACCTTTTTCCCTTTGCTGATTTTGCTTTGCATCTTTTCACTATAATAAATTATAGCCATAGCTGGGTGCAGTGACTCATGCCTGTAATCCCAGCACTTTGGAAGGCCAAAGCGGGTGGATCACTGAGGTCAGGAGTCTGAGACCAGCTTGACCTACATGGTGAAACCCTGTCTCTACTAAAAATACAAAAAATAGCCAGGTGTGGTGGCACATGTCTGTAATCCCAGCTATTTGCGAGGCTGAGGCATGAGAACTGCTTGAACCCGGGAGGCAGAGGTTGCAGTGAGCCATGATTGTGCCACTGCACTCCAGCCTGGGCAATAGAGTAAGACTCCGTCTCATATAAATAAATAAGTAAATAAATTATAGCCATGGGTATGACTATAGGCTGAGTCCCAGGAGTCCTCCTAGTGAATCGTGGAACCTGGGAAGGGCCTTGTCACCTCAACACAGATGACATACTGTATACCAACTCAAGGCGTTGTGTGAATTAAGTGAGGTATTACCTATAAAGCAACTAGCACACAGAAGCACATATCAGTTAGTCAACAAATGCCTGTTCCTTCTCCCTCCCTTTGTCCTTCTACATCTTTCTAATTTTTCTCTCATAGCTCATTGCTTTTATTGATTAACAAATGTTTGCTGTGGTCCCATGTTTCAGGCAGTGTGAAAGATACAGGATAGGATGACCACAGTGAGCCCGACCCTCTCTCCTCATCTCACAGTCCAATGTCTGAAGTTGTCTGTCTCCATTTCTGTGTTTATATCTGGGCTGGCTTGAGACATCAGGGATGGGCAAGTTTCTGCATCTCTTCAGGATGTGCCTGTGGGCCCTCAATCCTCCCAGGACAAATCTTTGGCCAGGTCCATGTTTCCTAGGGCAGTTCCTGAGGAGGAAGTGTCCAGGCAGGCCCAGCTCCCTGTGTATCTGCAAGAGCCTCTTTTATCCTTTACAAGATGCAAGACCTGCTACCTGTGTTTCCAGCCTGGCATGAAGAATCTGGCTAAAATCCTAACCCCACAGCCCAGAGCAACAACCTCGAGGAGGAGTAGCCTCAAATGAAGCACCAGCCAGCAGACCCCAGAGCCACCTGACCTGGAGCAGATCCAGTGACTGGTTGTTCAGGGCTTACAACATAGACTCCTGCCTATCCAGAGGGTAGAGACCACAAAGTCAAATGGAGCCCAGAGTTCATCCACGTAGCATGAGCCATGACCAAGGGCTTGGTGTCCTGATTCCCGAGGTCTAAGTTCAGAGACCAGAGCAGAGACCAGGAGCTCTGATCTCCTAACCTTCAGCCATGATCTCAAACAACCAAGCCCAGAGATAGATGGACTGAGGCTAGACAGTCAGGACAGGGACCAGACCCCAAATTTAGAACTCAAGTTTCAAAGAAAAAAATTAGATCAAGGCCCTGGGGTCAGCCCAGAGAGCAGCTCCCAGAACGAGGAGACCAGAATCCAGGCCCAGAATCTGCAGCCCAGAGCTCACATCTTGGAAAGGGAGGAGAGGAGAGACAGCACTACTATTTGCGAGATGCCTGGCACCCTGGGAAGTTCCAGAGACCCGAGTCTGGATTTAGTCTTTCAAATGCCAAGATCTTTACTACACCTAACATTTGCAATGCTTTTCTTTCTCCTTGAAATGTACTCTGATCTCTCAGGGTATCCCTTGGCCCCCTGCAGTCCTAAGCATGGCCACAAGATGGCAGGGCTGACCCATACTTTCCCTGTGGGACACAGCAAAGTTTGTTCTTCCCTCAAGTGCCCTGGGCCTTCAGGGCCAGGATACCCCCATCCCTCACCATGGCCCCTGGAGGCCATACAGAGCCGCCTGAGAAGACAATCCTCCCTCTCCACCATTCTATCGCTCTTTAAACAGGGGAGTCAACTTGGGGCCAAGTATTCCTGGGTGAGTCTGACCTCGTTATTCTAGGTCTGCGTGTGTCTGTCCGCACCTATCTCAGAAAGCAATCCTTCTTGGTCCTCTTTCAGCGCCAAGAATTTTTTTTCTTGTTTTCTCAGTGGGTAGAGCTTCCCGATTAGCACTCTTACATATTTACCATTACTAAATGCTCTCCTTCCGCCCATTTACAGCTGAATAACTGAGGCTCAACAAGATGAGGGCGCTTGTCTAAGTCACAACCCTCAGGTCAGGATGGAGTGGAATGAAAATGAGATATGTGTACATCTGTCCGTGACACCTTCCTGACCCCCTCACTTGGGGGGTCTGGTGACTGGGTACCCAACTGTATGCAGAGGGGAGAGGCAGCTGGTCTGTAGCCCAGCCAGCCCTGTGGAACCAGCCTTTCCTTGGCCCTTCTGGAAGAGAAGGTCTCCCTTAACCCTCCCCGACCGTCCCCCACCTCCAATTCAATAGGCAGTTCACTCTCAATCAATTCAACGCACTCTCCTCCAGGGTCTCTACTTTTCTGTCCAGGACAGACTCACCTGTATCTCCATCTTCCTATTCTAGAGAGGTGTTTGTGGGGATTGATTGGGTTCCTCTGAGGTAAGTGGGTCTCTTAAAGCTGCGCTGGGCTGGGGGCCGATGTGGATGTGTTGTGCTTGAGGAGGGAGGGAAGGAGGGGAAGAGGGAGGGAAGGAGGGGAAGAGGGAGGGAAGGAGGGGAAGAGGGAGGGAAGGAGGGGAAGAGGGAGGGAAGGTGGGGAGGAGGGAAGCAGGGAGGGGAAGAGGGAGACAGAGATGGGAGGAGGGAGGCAGGGAGGGGAGGAGGGAGAAGCAAGGAAGAAAGGAAGGAGGGAAAGAGGAAAGGAGGAAGGGAAGAAAGAGGGAGCCCAGCCTCCAGCCTCTGGGCCCAAAGCCGGCAAGGCCCACCCCTCTGCCTTCCTTTGCTGCTCAGCTTTGCCGCGAGGCCGGGCTGGAGGGACCCTTGATGTCACAGCTGCAGACAAAGGGAGCACACAGGGCCTGTGGACTTACCGTGTGCACGACGATGCGGACACACCTACTGTGCCAGGCATCAAAGGACTCTCAGCTCCCAATTTACCCTTCAAAACATGCTCTGTGATTAAACCACAGAATTCCTTTCAGCGTTTTTCGAGTGAGCACGATGCAAAGCTTCTCAGTAGAGGGCGCTAGAGAGACATGGCAAGAAGAAGGGGGCTCCTGCAGTTTCGGGAGGCCCCCTCGGGAGTCGGCCTGGCGGGTGGGAACATCTGGGGGCACCGCGGTTGGAATGCGCAGTCTGGCCGCGAATCCGGGGGCTTGCAGTTGCGCCCTGGCCTCGCCACCAACCCCCTGCAGCCCTCGCGACAGGGACACCGAGGCACGAAGCCTCCTGCCTGCACCTCTGTTGTGCTGCCTCTGCTCGTCCCTCCCTCTTCCCCCAGGTGTGTCTCCCGCAATCTTAGGGAAGCGGTGCCCCTCCCAACAGGGACACCGCGCTCCGGGCCGCCTGTTGCACCTACGACCCACTCCCGCGGCGCGACCACTGCGGCCAGGACCTGCGGCTTGCCTGGCCCACCTGTGCTCCGGAGGGGGGCTGATGCCTGCTTGTCCCAGAACTGCAGAGAAGCTCTGGCCCAAAAAATTAGCACAGCCACCCAGTGGGTTCAACTACCCTTTCTCCAGTGAGGTCTGAACCATACAGAATGTCTTACATTCTATACTTTTTAATCAGGGTTTAATAATTCTTTATATTAAACTACCCCTGTTTAGATCACTGTGTGATGTCTGTTTCCTGATTGGCTCCAGAGTGCTAAACCTTTTCATCCTCGCAAAGCTACAGGTGAGCTCATTTAATCACAGGTGGGGAGACAGACTTTAAGAAATGGCACAGACTCCCATTCAGATACTCCCCCTCTCCCAAGCACATACACAAGTATATGTACACAAGTGCATGCACACGCACACACATGGATACATACAGGGTGAATTTTTGTCGAAGCGTACAGTGTGGGATCTTAGGTAAATTAATGATGCAATTAATCCGTTAATAATGCAATTAATCTATCATTAATCTACATCTGAGCTTTCTGTGTCTCTGGTCCCAGGAAGGTAGAAAAGAGCAGGAAGGGTACCAGGAAAGCTGCCTCATGATATTGGAAGCTCTTTGGGGTCACTTATGATTTTTTCCCTGTTGTACCCAGGCTTGGCTCTTACATGCAGCTAATCACAAGAATCAAGTGAGATGGTGTTGGGAAGAAGAGTGTTTCTGCCCAACTCCCTACATTTCTGATCCTACCCTAAATATCTAGATTTTTAACCATCACAGGGAAGGCGGTTTGGTGATCTAATTGGTTAGAGCCCAAGCACTCACTGTGCCATGGCTTTTGGTAAGCCTCGAAAGGTGAGCACCTCTCTGCGGTATCCTCCCTATGTTCCCAGTTTCAGGCCTGGGGAGCTGCCATCTCTGTCTCTTCCACTCCTCCTTGCTGGTATCTGTGGGACTGGTTGGTTTAGATGCAGGAGTACCATCTCTCCAACTCCGTTTTGTGTGTCAGAAAGCTTTGCTTGTTTGTCTTTAATACGCCAAATCTCCTGTTTCTAACCCCCTGACTTCCATCTCTCCAGTTTCCCAGTCCTGCAAGAGTCCTTTGCTCTGCTCTTGCAGTTTCTCCGTGTGTTCTTCAGCAATATGCACCCTGATGGTTTGCACTTTCTATCGTGTTTATTATTCTAATGGCTAATGTCCATGTTAATATTTCTACTTCATTGCTTTTCTACTGCCTCTTGCTTGTGTCATGTGGGCAGTATCTTCACTGATTTTTCTATGGATATTGATTATACTTATTTTAAATTACTGGTATTCCTTTCCAATAATTTTGCAGCCAGTAGTGTGTGCTTCTGGTCCTTATCTTTCCATTGTGCTGATCGTGCCCCTCTCAGCCTGCTCTTTATCTTAGCAGTGAGCAACCTCCTTTTGGGGGTGTAGCCTGTCTGGTCACCTCTGACACATGCTGCTCTAGGTCACCAGGTGAGCCAAAGCAGAGGCAGAGAATGGGCCTGGACAAGAAGTGTCCCTGGCCCCAGAAACCTATCAATGATGGTCACCCACTAGGAAATTCTTGTTTTTTTTTTTTAGAGAGGGAAGCTGCCCCAGAGGGAGGACGCTGGTGGAAGGAATATACCAGGCCTGGGAGTGAAGGGGCAGAAGGAAGAATGGCAGTAAGGAATGTCTGAGGAGAGTCTGAAAGCCACATGTGTTCTGATTTCTGTGGCAAAAGAGCAGGTCTTTGCTATCCTAACTACTGAGCTGCCTTTCACTGCAGCCACCCTGTGTTCAAGGCCATGTCACAGATAAGCATGTCTCTATCACATGGGCAGATATGACACCCTCTGACCACCCACCCCATGGCTATAGGGGCCTAAGGTAGTCCTTGCCAGATGCAGTGCGCCTGTGTATTTGTGTTGGTTAAAAAGAAGGCCTGTGACATTTACACATTCTCAGAGAGTTCATGAGCAAAAACAAGCAAAGAAAAAATAGCAGGACTGGAACACAGGACAGTACAGGATGAAAAGTATGGGAAGGTCAGGCCTTAGGGTTACAAAGGACACTGCTGACAACAAGAAAGCAGCCTACCGCTGTCAGCTGTCTCTCACAGCCTGTCTCTCATGGCCAGACCATGGTATTCCCTGCTGACCCTAAACACTTCCACAGAATACCGGTGTACAACAATATTACTCTGTTGTGAGATCCCAAATCATTCCAAAATCATGTCTTCATATAGACAGAAAAGGTTGCTCTGTGAACCACAAAAACGAAAAACATGCCCCTCTCCTGCTTAATATAAACATCTGCCACTCTTTTACAAAATACAGCTTCGCCTTGCTCTGTTCTACTTATCTCCTAAATAAAAGTTAAGATGCACAATCACAGAATTGCCCAGCTTACGGACAGCACCCTATCCAGAACAGACTCCTGCTTCTTAAACCCCTTCCCCCAAAACCAACTAAAACAAAACAAGTCTTATAGAAATCCCCTCCCGACACCCTGTTACTGAGAAATCCTAGGGTACACCATTGTGCTCAATATCCCTGTTGGAACAAACAGTTAAAAGAAACTAAAAATAATAAATCCATTTTATCTGACTATAAGCATATTCCTGATGGTCCTCACTTGGAGAGCAATAACATTCTCATTGCTATTGTCCTACTCACAGCAGCTCTGTGGAAAAGGGAATGAGGTTCAAAATCTGATTTGAAAGATGTAAAACTGAGGTTCGGCCAGAATATGGGGTCTATCTAAGCTCATATTCATGAGACAAAACCAAGCCTTCTGGTTTCCAATCTCAAACCATGCCTCTCACATGGAGCCACCCAAGAACACTGCTTCCCAAGCTGAGAAGACTCTTGAACAGTCACCCTGGAGGGAATGAAGGCCTTTCTTAAGCAGGCTGTCATGGTGAGCCACGTGCCATGCACTCTGAATGTGGACCAGTTAAGGACACACCACTCCACAGCCAAGGCAGCGGTGCCCTCTTTCCCAGACGAGGAAACTGAGGACATGAAGGCAGTGGAACTTGAATAAGGTCACACTGTTGGGAAGTGGGAGAGCTGGGATTTCACCCTAGTCTACAAAAAAGGGGATGTAGGGCACCAGGCAGTCCTCCTGCAGGTCAGAGAGGCAGTTTTCTCTGCAGCCTCTTGGGGTGAGGTGGATTTGTTGTGGCGCTGCCAGAATGGAAGCAGTGTTAGGAAAGTGGAAAGTTTTTTTTTTTTTTAGACGGAGAGGCTCTGTCGCCCAGGCTGGAGCGCAGTGGTGCAATCTCAGCTCACTGCAAGCTCCGCCTCCCGGGCTCACTCCATTCTCCTGCCTCAGCCTCCTGGGTAGCTGGGATTACAGGCACCCGCCACCACGCCCGGCTAGTTTGTTGTTTTTTTTTTTTTTGTATTTTTTAGTAGAGATGGGGTTTCACTGTGTTAGCCAGGATGGTCTCAATCTCCTGACCTCATGATCCGCCCGCCTCGGCCTCCCAAGGTGCTGGGATTACAGGAGTGAGCCACCACGCCTGGCTGGGAAGGGTTTTAAAGTCCAGAACAAATGCACACAGTGGCCTTATCTATGGGGTGGAGTGCAGAGTGGGCATTCGTGTGGAGAGAGACATTCAGGCTGCGGCATGTGGAGAGTGGCCTCTCCTTTTGGGAAAGGCCTTCTGGAGAGCAGGATGTAACTGGGTGACACTCCAATCTCCGGATCAATTGCTAGATTGACTTTCCCCCAGATACCCACACCCTCTGAACCCAGTTCTAGGAAATTTCAGGGTCTGGAGAGCAGTTTCCTGACCTCTGGACTAGGTAAACAATGAAAGCAAGCACTGTGATTAAAGCCAGCACCGCCAGTGACCTGGAGTCAACTACCTCACCTCACCTTCTGCCACTGGAGCAGGAGCAGGGGGAAGCTCTGGCTGCTAAAGAATAAGAAGGGAAACAAGTCTTCTCAGGCCCTGTCTTCTTTAGGCCCTGGATCTCCTGATATCCACTGATGGCTTTAGGCATGTGGCTCTGTACCATCCTGGACATTTTTCCAGGCACAGCAGACAGGTCAGCAGGAAGTAAGGAAGCCAGTCCCTCCACAAGCCAAGAAGACTTCAATTGGAAGGGACCTGGAAATGCATCTTACTCACATTTCTTTTGGTGTTTGGAGGCCTCCATAGTACCCCCACCACATGGCCCCGCAGCCTCTGAACTTCTCAGGATGGGCTCCCCAACACCCCAAGCTACATGGCATTTTTCTGAAAGCCATATCAGTAATGTAGTTGAGAATCAAATGAACTATGTTCGTAAAAGTATTCTTCCATCCCTTCTAGATTGTCCCCATTAACCACAGCAAGATGGTTCAAGCCATTAACACACACGATACCCATGATCTTATAGTGCCAAGTGCTGTTCTTTTGCTTCTTATCTCAGTTGAGTGGCTCCTAGATAGTCAAGTCATAAATGTGTGTGCCCATGAAAACTTCTTATTATCACTCACTATTCTAGCTAATTCTCAAGTGCAATCAATACCTCCTGTTTCTCAAGTGTGCCTACCTTCTTAATCTAGCTGCCATTACCCTGACCCAGGCCACTGTCTTCTGCTGCTTAGATCATGGCAAGCACTTCCTTTTAGATCTGCTTTTCTCCAGTCCTGTTCCCCTCAACATCATAGCCAGAACAAGCCTTGCAAAATTCAAATGTGATCACCTCTCCACTACTGCAGTCCCTCTAGTGCCCCCTGGAAGGAAACCCAAAGTCTTTAACACAGTTTACAATTCTTGTTATGAGGATGAAATTTGAAGACATTGTGCTAAGTGAAATAAGCCAGATACAAGGGGGCTATTGTATGATTTCACATATATGAGGTACCTAGGATAGATGAATTCAGAGAGACAGAAAGTAAAACAGAAGTTACCAGTGGCTGTGGGTAGGGGTAAATGGAGAATTCTAGTTTAATGAGTTGAGAGTTTCAGTTTGGGATGATGAAAATCATCCCATGATGTGGTGATGATAGCACAACCGTGTGAATGTACTTAATGCTACTGAGTTGTGTGCTTAATAATAATGGTCAAAATGGTAAATTTTATGTCTATTTTACCACAATGAAAAACTGGAAAAGTAAAGTCAATGACTATAATATCATAAAGTGTAAGTAACATGAGAGAAAATAATTCAGGCTAAGAGGATAGAGACTGCTAGGTAGGACTATTTTAGAATAAGTGATCAAGGTACTGATTTCTCTGAAATTGGAATATTTGAATAGAAGAGAAAGAGCTAGCTGGCGATGCCCGTAAGGGGTCCAGGCATGGAGACATCAAATGAAGAGTCTGAGGCAGGAATGGCCTTAATGCATTAATGGCAGCAAGAGGTCTATGTGGTTTCATGGATGGGTGTGTGCGTGCATGCACGTGTCTGTGTGTATAGTTGGTGTGCATGAGCATGTGTATGCATTTGTGAGTATCTTTGTTTTTCTGTTGGAAACAAGGATGTCAACAGGACTAACTAGGTGAACCTAGCTGTGGTAGTTCAGCAATGAGATTTGCCAAAATGGATGGCAATTGAAAGAGGAATTGTGCTGTATTAAAGCAGACAGCTGCCGAGCACTGTATTGGAGGCTCCTAAATTTCTCATAGTTCTGAGAAGAGCTGTTTATTAATCTGGAGTTGAAGGCCAGGCCCAGGATATCCTTGTTCACAAGGTTGATTGGGCCCTACATTGCTGAGCCCAGCCTCCTCCCTCACTCTGAGGCATCTGCCAGAGCCCCAGGCTAGAGGGCCAGCGTCCTTGTCACTGAGTCCCTGCTCTGCAGAAACACCAGTAAGTCATTTCTGGTGAATAAATCTGGGTTTCCGGATCAAGGGTTTGGGGAGCTGACATGACCCTGGAGGCATGGAGGAGGCTTTCTAGGGGTGGGGGGAGTGGGATGGAAAGCAGAAATCAGGTTGAGGATGTCTCTTTTTCTGCTTGTGCTGGAGCATCTGTGACTTTCCTCCATTATCTGTTCATCTGCAGTGGAGACTGTCTTTGTTTTCAAAGGGAAACTTGGAGGCTTAGACCTATGGGGCTAGGCTGCTGAGGTTTCTTAGGGGGCAATAGCTGGAAGAAAGCTCTGAAGAACAAATGAAAGGTTAATACTGAGAAATGGGAGGAGGATTCAAGGCAAGTTTTCTAATTGCCAGTGGTTTTTGACTCACAGAACATGGGGAATTCCTGCCAGAAAGTAGAGAGGTATTTAGCACTCTGCCAGGGCCAACGTAGTAAGAAATTTCCAGAGAAAATGCTTACCCAGGCAAGCCTGTCTAAAACACCAAGGGGAAGCAAACTCCAGTTAATTCTGGGCTGGGTTGGTGACTAAGGTTGAGGTTGATCTGAGGTTGAGACCTTCCTCTTTGGATCACCAGCTTTCAGCTCAGGGCCTGCCAATGAGTAAATGATAGTTAACAGGTCCTGGAGGGGAATCAGCTGCCCAGATACAAAGATGGGATTCAGGTGGCAGATGGACCCGAAGAGGACATGGAGAGAAAGAGGAAGCTCCTACAGACACCTGGGTTTCCACTCATTCTCATTCCCTAAGCTAACAGGCATAAGCCAGCTGGCAATGCACGGTCCCATTTGTTCTCACTGCCACCGAAAGCATGTTTATAGTCTTCCAGCAGCAACGCCAGGTGTCTAGGCACAGATGAACCCCTCCTTAGGATCCCCACTGCTCATCATAGTGCCTACCTTTGTTAAAGTACTAGTCACGCAGTGTCACAAGGAATGTTTACTTTTCCAAATCCCCAGCTAGAGGCCAGGGATGGGTCATCTATTTCTATATAGCCTGCACCCAGATTGTAGGACAGAGGGCATGCTCGGTAAATATGTGTTCATTAACTGAGATTAACCTTCCCTGAGTTTTCTCACACCAAGGTGAGGACCATGTCCCTGTTTCCATCACTCCCTCTCCTTCTCCTGAGTATGGTGGCAGCGTCTTACTCAGAAACTGTGACCTGTGAGGATGCCCAAAAGACCTGCCCTGCAGTGATTGCCTGTAGCTCTCCAGGCATCAACGGCTTCCCAGGCAAAGATGGGCGTGATGGCACCAAGGGAGAAAAGGGGGAACCAGGTACGTGTTGGGCTGTTCTGTCTCTGCAATTCTTTACCTTCCAGAGGAAACTGCCTGGGGATATGAGGAGACTGATGTCCTATTTGAGTATATTTTTCTCAACTATACTGTAACTCAAAACAGAGATTCAGCTCTCATTCTCTGGCATCTCAGAATTCCACACAGCAGTTTGTGACTAATAGTTGTCTTGCCAGCCCAGGAAAGTGGCCCACAGGTCAGGCCATCCCGTGGGACACAGGATGAATTTTTCTTCTCTGGGTCATTGTCATGTCAGACCCCTATTCACTTCAGTAGGGATGGCACCAGGTTCAAGAGGCCAAAGAAGAGATGGAGTCAGCAAACAAACATAGGTTTTACTGGGGGAATCTGTTTACAGGGAGATCCAGCAGCAGTGGGCTGGACAGGAGAACAACAACTACTGGTAAAAACAAATGCAGTTAATTTTCACTTTGCACCCTCCCTGCAGCAACCTCCACGTGGCAACTTTATTTCTTAAGTTATTGCTCTCAGGTGCCCACCATACAGTTATTGAGAGCAGTGCTCAGAAAGGTCAGTCCTGGGTCAAGGTCTCCTTTCTCCTGAGAAGGGATTGGGCATCAAACTCTTGAAGAGAGAGAGCAAGAACATAGATATTAAGTCACATTTCCTTTGTCTTCCAACAGGCCAAGGGCTCAGAGGCTTACAGGGCCCCCCTGGAAAGTTGGGGCCTCCAGGAAATCCAGGGCCTTCTGGGTCACCAGGACCAAAGGGCCAAAAAGGAGACCCTGGAAAAAGTCCGGGTAAGGACCCCAGCAAGGTCTGAGCTGACTTCACCCAGGGTTCTGAGACCTTGAGTATCTGGTAAGAGGTGCCCCTTCTCCTGTTCCTTCAAAGGAAGATACCCAAATTTGCTTTCTGACCCAGTGCCCTCAGCCCTCTCTTCATTCTTAGAGCCTTAGGGAATTCCTATAAGTGCCTGAGTACAGACTTACAAACTTTTCAAGACAACTCCCTCATCAGGCACTCCCTGTAAGAGCTGAGCCTGGATTCTCCATCAGCTGAAACAGTCTAATGTGAGGCCCTGGTCCTAGAGGGAGAAAACAGGCCATCTAAGTGTGGGCTTATTATACCTATTTTTACAAAAGCATGTAACCATGGTATGTCATATTTTACTTCATAAGAAACCAAGCCAAAGCTTAATAGCTTAAAAACATAGCCGTCAATTTAAATCACAAGTCTGTGGGTCGGCCATGTGATTTCTCTGCTGGTTTAAGCTGGGCTTACCCACATGTCTGTGGTCAACTGATGGCCAATAGTCTCACTCATGTGTCTGGCTGTTGTCTGAATGTTAGCTGGAGTGATGAGGGTAATTGAACCACATCTCTCATCATCCAACAGGGCTTGTTCACATAGCAGTGATTACAGGATTCCCAAGAGTAGAAATAAGATAGGCTTTAGGCTTCTTGAAGACTCAGAGCACATTATCATTTCTGTCAGACTGTATTGGTCAAAACAAGTCACAAGGCCAGCCCAGATTCAAGGAGTGGGGTAATAGACTCATGTCTTAATGCGAGGAGCTGTACCCTATTGAGGCCATTTTTGCCATCTACTACAACAAGTGATTTGCTCATGCCCTCCCCACTTGGATAATGGGCAACTCACAAAAATCTTGGTTTCCTGACTAACAGAACAAACCTGGAAAAAACAAAAACAAAACAAAAGACATCAAAAGCAAAACCTCTCCAAAGACAAAAACTCTGCAATCTTTTTCGTCACTCTTCACCAGGTCATAATAGAGTAACGCCTCAAGAGATTTCTTTTTAGTTTTGATAGAACAATTTATTTGAAAAAAAAATCTGTGAAGAACCTGGCATATGGATTGCTAGGTAATCAGGGAGTATATGTGTGCATGTGATATGTATGCGTACTTTGGGATACAGTAAACAGACAAAGAGGGACATTTGGGGTTGGATGGAAATAGCGATTTTTCATTCTTTGGGCTTTTCAGTATTTTTTATTTTCCTTCAAAGTGTAAACATCAATGTAAAATAAGCTTTTTTTTTCAGTTTGAAAAAGATACTCCACTCCCTTGTATATGCACAGTTCTGAGGCTCCTTCTCAACAATGCTTCTTTACTTTGTTCTAATTTTCTAGATGGTGATAGTAGCCTGGCTGCCTCAGAAAGAAAAGCTCTGCAAACAGAAATGGCACGTATCAAAAAGTGTAAGCTTTTTCTCTTACTCTCCAGGCAGCTTGAAGTTTGGGAAAAATAGAATGCAACAAATATTTGTTGAATGCATATAATTTTCTGTACCCTGCTAGGCATTTCTCATATTCTTACCTCATGAAATTCTCACAACATTTTGGTAGAAATGGAGGCAAAGGGAAGTTAAATTACTTGTTCAAATGCACAGAGCTAATAAATGGCAGGGGTGGTTTATAGATGGAAGTCAGTCTGACTCGAGAGACCCTAATCCTTTACCGTCTGATATTGCTCACTGAAAATGGGACTTATATCCCTTTGTTGCACTGGTATTGAGACCTGGCCGTGGGGTCTAACCTGCCTGGGGCAAATATTTTCAGACATTTTTTGTTTGGTCTCAAGTTAACAATTTAGAATTCAGAAGTCCAAATTATATGTCTTTTAGAATTCTGATCTGAAAGCACAGAGAGGCCTTTGTACCAGTCTGTCTGTTCACATTTGGGTTGCCATATTTAACAAATAAAAAGACAAAGCACCAGTTAAATTGGATTTCAGCTGAAAAACATTTTTAGTATAAGTGTGTCTGAAAAATTATATGGGAGATATACTAAAATATTCATTGTTTGTCTGAAATTCAAATTTAACTGGACATACTATATTTTATCCGGCAACTGTACTCTAGAAGACTTTTTCTTGAGAAATACCTTGAGTTGGGCTTAAGGATGAGTCAGTTTCACCCACTTTTTCACATTTTAGGGCTCACCTTCTCTCTGGGCAAACAAGTTGGGAACAAGTTCTTCCTGACCAATGGTGAAATAATGACCTTTGAAAAAGTGAAGGCCTTGTGTGTCAAGTTCCAGGCCTCTGTGGCCACCCCCAGGAATGCTGCAGAGAATGGAGCCATTCAGAATCTCATCAAGGAGGAAGCCTTCCTGGGCATCACTGATGAGAAGACAGAAGGGCAGTTTGTGGATCTGACAGGAAATAGACTGACCTACACAAACTGGAACGAGGGTGAACCCAACAATGCTGGTTCTGATGAAGATTGTGTATTGCTACTGAAAAATGGCCAGTGGAATGACGTCCCCTGCTCCACCTCCCATCTGGCCGTCTGTGAGTTCCCTATCTGAAGGGTCATATCACTCAGGCCCTCCTTGTCTTTTTACTGCAACCCACAGGCCCACAGTATGCTTGAAAAGATAAATTATATCAATTTCCTCATATCCAGTATTGTTCCTTTTGTGGGCAATCACTAAAAATGATCACTAACAGCACCAACAAAGCAATAATAGTAGTAGTAGTAGTTAGCAGCAGCAGTAGTAGTCATGCTAATTATATAATATTTTTAATATATACTATGAGGCCCTATCTTTTGCATCCTACATTAATTATCTAGTTTAATTAATCTGTAATGCTTTCGATAGTGTTAACTTGCTGCAGTATGAAAATAAGACGGATTTATTTTTCCATTTACAACAAACACCTGTGCTCTGTTGAGCCTTCCTTTCTGTTTGGGTAGAGGGCTCCCCTAATGACATCACCACAGTTTAATACCACAGCTTTTTACCAAGTTTCAGGTATTAAGAAAATCTATTTTGTAACTTTCTCTATGAACTCTGTTTTCTTTCTAATGAGATATTAAACCATGTAAAGAACATAAATAACAAATCTCAAGCAAACAGCTTCACAAATTCTCACACACATACATACCTATATACTCACTTTCTAGATTAAGATATGGGACATTTTTGACTCCCTAGAAGCCCCGTTATAACTCCTCCTAGTACTAACTCCTAGGAAAATACTATTCTGACCTCCATGACTGCACAGTAATTTCGTCTGTTTATAAACATTGTATAGTTGGAATCATATTGTGTGTAATGTTGTATGTCTTGTTTACTCAGAATTAAGTCTGTGAGATTCATTCATGTCATGTGTACAAAAGTTTCATCCTTTTCATTGCCATGTAGGGTTCCCTTATATTAATATTCCTCAGTTCATCCATTCTATTGTTAATAGGCACTTAAGTGGCTTCCAATTTTTGGCCATGAGGAAGAGAACCCACGAACATTCCTGGACTTGTCTTTTGGTGGACATGGTGCACTAATTTCACTACCTATCCAGGAGTGGAACTGGTAGAGGATGAGGAAAGCATGTATTCAGCTTTAGTAGATATTACCAGTTTTCCTAAGTGATTGTATGAATTTATGCTCCTACCGGCAATGTGTGGCAGTCCTAGATGCTCTATGTGCTTGTAAAAAGTCAATGTTTTCAGTTCTCTTGATTTTCATTATTCCTGTGGATGTAAAGTGATATTTCCCCATGGTTTTAATCTGTATTTCCCCAACATGTAATAAGGTTGAACACTTTTTTATATGCTTATTGGGCACTTGGGTATCTTCTTTTGTGAAGTACCCGTTCACATTTTTGTATTTTGTTTAAATTAGTTAGCCAATATTTTTCTTACTGATTTTTAAGTTATTTTTACATTCTGAATATGTCCTTTTTAATGTGTATTACAAATATTTTGCTAGTTTTTGACTTGCTCCTAATGTTGAATTTTGATGAACAAAATTTCCTAATTTTGAGAAAGTCTTATTTATTCATATTTTCTTTCAAAATTAGTGCTTTTTGTGTCATGTTTAAGAAATTTTTGCCCATCCCAAAATCATAAGATATTTTTCATGATTTTGAAACCATGAAGAGATTTTTCATGATTTTGAAATCATGAAGATATTTTTCCATTTTTTTCTAATAGTTTTATTAATAAACATTCTATCTATTCCTGGTAGAATAGATATCCACTTGAGACAGCACTATGTAGGAAAGACCATTTTTCCTCCACTGAACTAGGGTGGTGCATTTTTGTAAGTTAGGTAACTGTATGTGTGTGTGTCTGTTTCTGGGCTGTCTATTCTAGTCTATTTGTTGATGCTTGTGTCAAACAGTACACTATCTTAATTATTGTACATTTATAGTTGTAACTATAGTCCAGCTTTGTTCTTCTTAAAGTCAAGATTTCCATATAAATATTAGAAACAGCTTCTCAATTTCTACAAAATCCTGATGAGGTTTCTACTGGGACCACATTGAGTCTATCAATCAACTTATGCAGAACTGGCAACTTACTACTGAATCTCTAATCAATGTTCATCATGTATCGCTTCATGTAACTAGAATTTCTTTAACTTAATTGCTATGTTTTGACATTTTTAGTTTAAAAACCTTGTATATCTTGTTTTGGTGGTTTTAGTGATTTTAATAATATATTTTAAATATTTTTTCTTTTCTATTGTTGTACACAGAAATACAGTTAAGTTTTGTGTGTAGTCTTACGATGTTTAGTAAACTCAATAAGTTTATTTCTTAAATCTAGTAATTTGTAGATTCCTCTGGATTTTGTATATGCATAGTCATGTAAGCTGAAAATATGGCAATACTTGCTTCTTCCCAATTGCTTTACCTTTTTTCTTACCTTATTGCACTGGTTAGCAACCCCAATACAGAGACCACCAGATCAGGTATAGACTCCTGAAAGACAATATAATGAAGTGCTCCAGTCAGGCCTATCTAAACTGGATTCACAGCTCTGTCACTTAATTGCTACATGATCTAGAGCCAGTTACTTTGTGTTTCAGCCATGTATTTGCAGCTGAGAGAAAATAATCATTCTTATTTCATGAAAATTGTGGGGATGATGAAATAAGTTAACACCTTTAAAGTGTGTAGTAAAGTATCAGGATACTATATTTTAGGTCTTAATACACACAGTTATGCCGCTAGATACATGCTTTTTAATGAGATAATGTGATATTATACATAACACATATCGATTTTTAAAAATTAAATCAACCTTGCTTTGATGGAATAAACTCCATTTAGTCACATTTTATCTTGTGTATGTATTATTGGAGTGGACTTGTTAATAGTTTGTTTAGAACGTTTGCACCTATGTTCATGAGAGATACTAGCTTTTTTTCCCCTCCTTAATGCACTTGCTATGGTTTGGGGTCAATGTTATGTAAGCCTCATTAAAATGAGCTGTGATGTGCTCTCATGCTCCTTATTATCTAAAATAATTTGTGTAAAATTATACTTTAATGTTAGATAAATTCACCAGTGAAGCCATCTTGGAATGGTGTTTTCTGTTGGGAAATGATTTTAATTTCAGATTTAATTTCCTCATGATCTAAACCTATTCATGTTTTCTGTCTTTTGTTCGGTTTCAGTGAGTTATATTTTTCAATGAATGTGTCAATTTCCTCTGAATATATATGTATTGGCATAAAATTGTTACAATATCTTTGTATTTCTTTTCAATATAAGTAGGATCTATAGCAATGTCTATGTATCTGTTATGATTATTTGCATTTTATCTTTATTTTATTGTATTTTTTTTTGAGATGGAGTCTCACTCTGTCACCCAGGCTGGAGTGGCTGGAGTACAGTGGCACGATCTTGGCTCACTGCAATCTCTGCCTCCCAGGTTCAAGAGATTCTCCTGCCTCAGCCTCCCAGGTAGCTGGGATTACAGATGCCCACCACCATTCCTGGCTAATTTTTTTAATTTTTTGTGGAGACGAGGTTTCGCCATGCTGGCTAGGCTGGTCTCAAACCCCTGACCTGAGGTGATCTACCTGCCTCAGCCTCCCAAAGTGCTGGGATTACAGGCATGAGCCACTGTGCTTGGCCCATCTCTTTTTTTCTTAATCAATCTTGCAAAGGATTTGTCCATTTTATTAAATTTTTCCAAAAACTTCTTTTTGGTGTTTACTAACCTCTATGATTACATTTATTTATATCTGTTCCTGTCTTTATCATTTCTTGTATCGATCTTCTGTGGGTTTAATTGGCCATTCTTTTTCTAGCTTCTTTTAATTGACATTTAGAGAACTGATTTTCTTCCTTCCTTCTTTGCTAATATAATCATTTAAAGTTATAATTTTTATTTAAGAACTATTTCAGCTGCATACCACAGGTTTGGATATGTATCTTTTCCCACCAATTCAAAATAGGTTTTTCATATCCAATTCAAAATATTTTATAATTTTCATTGTGACTTCTTCGACTCATGGTTTATTTATAAGTGTGTGGTTTAATTCCTAAATATTTGAGTATTTTAAAAAGCTATACTCCTGTAAGTGATTTATAGTTTAATTCCACTGTATCCAGAAATATACTTTTATATGAGTTCAATCTTTTGAAATTTGTTAAGATTTTATTTTATGATCCAGTTTATGATTTAGAATGGTAAATGTATTATGTGCACTAGAAATAATGTGGTTTTTACAGTTGATTAGTGTATCATTAGGTCAGGATATGAATCTTCTTTGTATTTTCTGTATTCTCACTAATATTTTGCCCTTTTAGAAGGAAATAACAAAGATCAGAATAGAAATAAATGACATAGAGAGTAGAAAAGCAAATAGATCAATGAAACTCAAAAGTTAATTTTTGTGAAATGATACAATTTCCAAACTTTAGCTAAAATAACTAAGAAAAATACAGAGAAGACTCAAAATCAGAAATGAGAGGAGACACGACAACTGATAACATACAAGTACAAAGGATCATAAGAGCTACATTCCTTTGTGTTACATTGTTTTCTCTTTACATTCTGATTGTCTCTCGCTTGCTCGCTGTCTTCTTTTAAAGTTTTGTTTCAGAAGAACTAAAAAAATCTAGGTTTAAAATGTACAGATATCCTTTGTAACTTAGCATTAGGCAAAATTGTCTTAGAGAACTCAATTACTTTTCAAGTAAAAAATGATAAATTGAATTTCATCAAAATTAAAGATTAACTCAGTTTGTTAAACATTAGGAAAACAGGCAAACCATGACTAGGAGAAAAATATTTGCAAATATTGGCCTGCATCTGTCAAAGGATACATAGGATACAGAAACAACTGCTATAAGCCAGCAATAAAAAGACAGAACTGGGAAGGGATGGCCAGGGACCAAAGGAGAAGAAATGAAACACAGGATAGACCACCTTCAGTGTCCTTGGTCAGGAATTCCCATTCCTTAATGTTGTGGGCTAAATAGTGTCGCAAAAAAAAAAAAAAAAAAAAAAAATCTATGCAAGTCCTAACCACCAGGACTTATGAATGCACCCTTATGTGGAATTAGGGTCTTTACAGTTATGATAAAGACAAGGCGAGGCCACACTGGATTAGAGCAGGCCCTAATCCACTGACTGGTGTCCTTCTAAGAAGAGGGAAATTTGGACACGCAGTCACACAAGGAGAATGCTGTGTGATGAAGAAGGCAGAGAGTGGAGTGACACATCTTTAAGACAAAGACTGCCAAAGATTGTGGACAATACTGGTATCAGAAACTTCTGCCAACTTCTTCTGAAACGTCTGCCTACAAACTTGTTTTCTACTAAAATCGTCCATTCTATGAGAAAACACAGAATATGATGAACCATTCAGCCAGGAAACTGCTGCTAATTCCTCAGGGCTGTTTACCTATGATGGCCTATATCAGAAGCTAGGAGTGAGGCATAGAATAATATTCCTCAGAGCCTCCAGTAGGAACCAACCCTAGTGACACCTTGCTCTCAGACTTCTAGCCTCCAGCACTGTGTAAGAATAAATTTATGTTGTTTTAAGCCACCCAGTTTGTGGTAGTTTATTATGGAAGCCCTAGAAAACAAATACACTTGGCAGTGGAGACTCCTGTTGTGTATACTACAGTAGACTGAATTGTTCCCTGGAAAACATCCTTCTGAGCTTCAGTCTTATGATTGGGAAGACAGAAAAACAGAGAGAGAGAGAGAGAGAGAGAATGAATGAATGAATGAATTGAGATATTTTCATGTGCTTTCCAGGACCTCCATAAAAAGTCACTCTGCGGTCTGGGCTCACATCCCCACTGGGGGATTCATGAGGAGGGAGTGGGCTACTGTAGTGTGTGTGATTCAAAGGCTGGGTCCTGCTACATTTATGAGAATAATGATGGCTTCGACGTTGACCTCACAGGAAGGTGTCTCCACAGTACTGAAGGCCAATCTGGGCAAGGAGCTGCAGGCCACCCTCAGGCAGACACCAGGCTTTTAGCTAAGGGTGAGGGGGAACTTCGGAGCCCAATGAGCCCATGTAACCCACAGCAGGACTTTGTCACTGCAACCAAAGTGAGTAGCGGGGAGCTGGCTGGGAGAGGACCAGGAGTGAGCTAGGTGTGTGTACAGGTTGGGTGCCATGTGATTTAAATCTTTACAGGAGAATCAGAGTGGAACAAGAGGTGAAGAAAAACTTGTAGAAGGGGTTTCTGAGTACCTTTTATGTGCCATATTTTGTACTTAGAAACTTTGCACCATGACCTCATAAAACATCATTTTACAAAAGAGGAAAAGAGAATCTAAGAGGTTGGGACACTCGCAGCGAGCTCACAGTTCACGTGAGGTAGCTTTAGAAAGTTGAAAATTCACAACTGTCTCACTCAAAACTCATGTCATCAAGCATATTCTCCATGTGTTAATCCATACTCTAGGTCATAAATTGGTTCAAGCAATTCCTCTTGTTCTTCTCTCCCAGTTTCTGGCCAGTGTTACATAACCTAGCTCTTCCTTTCAGACTTGCCTCCCCTTATCATCCCACCTCAAGAGGCATCACTTAGAGATGCCAAAAGAAGAAACTGCTGAGGACAGGCAACCACTTTCACATGGAAGGACAGAATGATACATAAAACAAAGATGATGAGGCAGTACCATACCCTTCCTTACACACACACAAGCACACATACAAGAAACACCCAAGAGACACACAAAATAAACATGTATACAGCAAACATACAAACACTCATAGATGCATAGAAGCCAGACTCTAATCAAAGGCCTGACTGTGATCCCTCTCTTCTCCAGCTCTGATCTTGCAGGAATCCATGATCATGGAGGGAAATAGGACCTTTGCCAGCAACAGGCAGTCATTTGGCCGCCCACTGTGAACTCTGTGTCCATGAGTCCATCACCACCCTCATGGACCTGAAGAACACAGGCCTAGTATGTCTCATGAGGAAAGTAACACACCTACCTGGGCCTAAGGGAGGCCCCAGTCCCAGGAAATTGCGCTACCTGAATGAGACCCCTGTAACTGTACATTTGCTACCCAGAGGAGCCTGATGGACAAGACAGAGGAAAGTGCGTGGAGATGAACGGGATAGGAAATGGAATAACATAAACTTTGTGCAGTCCTATCTCACTATGTGAGTTCCACATGCATCACCAGGAAAGTCAGGAAGATTAATGCTTGTTCCAGAAACGGGATTGCTCCCTCAGAGCACCCTTCTGGGCACCAATATCTGAATAGTAATGGTTAGTTTGGGCCTACCAGTTTGCCAAATTTTGTATGAAAACTACTGTTGTTAGCTGAAAGGTAACCTCCAATGATATATTCATATTCTAATCTCTGGGACCCGTGAATGTTACTTTACAGGGCAAAATAGTGCATACTATCTTATATGTGATATGATTAAATTAAGGATCTTGCAAGGAGGAATTACCCTGGATTATTTGGTTGGGCTCTTTTTTAGCCATTTCAGATTGCTGTAACAAAGTATTGTAGACTGGGTGACTTATAAATAACAAATTTATTTCTCACAGTCCTGGAAGATGGAAGTCCAAGATCAGCATGCTACCATGGCCGGGTTCCGATGAGGTTGTGGACCTCTTCCAGGTTCTAGACAGCTGACTGCTCCTTGTGCTCTCACATGGTAGAAAGAGACTGGTAGAGCTCTCTAGAGTCACAGACTCCATAATGGCACAAACTCATTTAGCAGAGCTCCACCCTCATGACCTAATCACCTCCAAAGGCCACAACTTCTAATACCATCATATTGACAGTTAGGATTTCAAGATAGGAATTTCGAGAGGAAACAAACATTCAGTCCATTGCAGGCCCTAAATAAAATCACATGTATCAAGATGGGCAGGGGGAGTTTGGAGACAGATGTCCAGAAGAAGAAGAGGAAGGAATGAGGAAGCAGAGATTGGAGCAATGCAGCCACAAGCAAAGAAACATCTGCAAACACTGAAGGAAGGAAGAAGAAAGCTGAGGCTGAAAGAGGCAAGAAAGAGATCCTCCCCTACAGTGTCTAAAGGGAGTGTAGCCCTGCCAACACTTTGATTTCAGACTTCTGGACTCCAGAAATTGGAGCAAATGAATTTTTGTTGTTTTAATCCACCTAGCTTGTGTTAATTTACTACAGTCATCCTAGGAAACTAAAACAAGTATGCACAGGAGTTTTTGCTCAGGACTCATGAAAAACTACAGGCTCCTGAAGGAGGCATGAGCCTGTCCTTTGGACAATCTCTATGCAGTGGCCACCACAAATAGTAGCACCCCTCTCCTATAAAGTGTGTCTGCGGGTTATGAGGCAAACTCCAGTTGCTCCTCTTTCAGGATCCATGGGATCACCTTTTCCTGGAGAATGAAGAATGTCTTGAAATCATGAGCACCAGAATTCTCTCATTCCTGGAGGCCCTTGAAAGGCTGATCCTTCTCTGTGTCCTTTAGTATCTTTGTCCCACTCCTGTCTGCTCTAAGATGTGGTCATTTTGATGCTGGCCCCTTAAACTCTGCAGCTGTGGATGTCTATGCCCAATTCTGGGTCTTTCATAACAGCATCTTTATCAATTACATGCACTAAGGGTCTGTTTCCCACCCATGTCTGCAATCAGTTGATTTCAACCTCCCTCCTACCAAGAGTGGCTTCTCTTCCTACATTTGTTAACCCAGGATCTCAGTGGGTCTCTCTGTTCCTATCCATGATGTGGTCTGTGTCAGAGGTCTCAGCTGGAGAGTGCCAACGGGAAGAATGACAGGAAGTACTCATGAATGATGAGATAACTTGTGGAGTGGGGCTGGAAATGGATACACACACCCGCACATGCACACACACCCCTCCCATGCTACATTTGGCAGATAGATAGTCCAGTTAAAACTTCTTGCATAATACTAACCTCCCCTTCCTGCTTCTGACCCCTCCCATTAGAAGGAATATTTTATAATGCAACCACTAAATCTTCCAGTAGCAGCAGAGGCAAGGCACAATTTCAAGTACATTCCAGAGCTGACACCCAGGCAATGACGCTGTGGGGAGTGGAGTATCCTGCCTCTGGGTGCTGAGCTCCCTGACACTGTCAGCATGCAGGTAGGTTCAGGAGCATCTTCTATGTGACAGCTACAGAGCAGCGGATGTTTCTACTTGGCAAAAGTAAAGACAATTTTATTTCAATCAAAATCTTACAGGGAACACAAATACATAGAAGAGGTTAAAGAACAATTTCATCAAAAAGTAATTGTTTAATTCAAATTTATTCCTTTACACGAGACAGAGTGCTCTAATAAACATAAAAATTTTGGAAATCCAGTCATTGATGATAACTATAGTCTCATGTAAACCCTCGAATTCAGTTTACCTTTTCATATTGGGTTTGGGTTGCACAATGTCAGAATACTGAGTGACGTGCATATATACTTACAAATGACAGCCAGGGGCAATGTGCAGTCTGCCATCTTATTAGTACAACTATGCATTTAGACTCATCATAGGCCACACTTAGCCCTGGACTCATTTAGAAGGATAGAAAGATAGGAGAGGGAACACAGCCTGCCATTAGGACAGCACCAAACATTGTTCTGCAGTGAGAGGAGGCCTGACAGGAGTCACACAGCAGTCTAGGGGCTGCTCTCTGCCCCTCCAGGGAAACTTCAGGTGTGACCGAGTTAGACCTACACAAGTAGGTACAGTAATGGCTTAGAACTGACCCTGGCTTAAAATTCCCTCATTCCTGATAGGAACCAATATATGTTATGACAATAGCTCCATAGGCAAAGTTTCCAGGTCTCCACAAGGGACATATGAGACACAAGAATCACCGCACTTCAGAAAGTCCAAAACTATGGTTCCAAAACTGATATTTTACTTGATTCTGTCCTCCCAGTTTGAAGCAGTTCATGATTCAATCACAGGTCATTTTTATAAGCAATATTGCTCATGAACACTGCTGGATTTCCACCCTGATCAGGGTTCCAGGCAAACAGAACTAGAAAGTTAACCCAAGGTCAAATTTCATGAATAGGAGAAAGGGTTTTGCTAACGCTTTATTCACACAGTATCATTTCCAAAACTCTTCTGGTATCAAGCTGTTCTAAAAAAGAAAAAAAAGAATCCAAGCTTAAAATAAATTGAAAATGACATATGACACGATATAAACATGCTTCTAATGTTATGGTTTCACTTGACTGTTCGGATCACGACAAACACAGGAACTGGCAGGCATGGAGTGGACTTGCCGTAGCCTTGTGTGGTATTTAAGTGAGCTCAGCCTGAGTTCATAGCACTGAACTGACTTGAACCACAGATAGGGAATGGAATTTACAATGCTGAATTTATAAAGTCACCAGTGTAATGATGAACTTTCTGGTACACTTTTTTGGAAATTCAAATGCACAGATAAATCTGTGGGGGTAATTTTGTTCTCTTCACCTCGTTTCCTTCTGGAACCAGACAACAACACTTCTTGAACTTCCTAGGACCGTGTAACCCTTGAGCCAATTATTGTGTCACTGCCTCTCACTGTCCTCATGTCTTCACTTTTTTCCTGCATACTTAGATGGTGAGGCTAATTATTATAATCACTCTTTTGCAATTTCCACTTCCTTTAATAATTCCCTCCCTCTTTTAAGTGTCCTGGGGGTCAAAAATTTCAACCGTGTCAAAATTCTACTCTCAATTTACTCTTTACCCGCACCTCAAAAACTGGCCTTGCTTATAGAAAAATACACAATCATGATGCCTCTCTCACTGTAAATTAATGACTTCTAACATCAAGTAACCCCAAGTGCTACCCAGTAATCCTGCTGCGTTTTCTCTCCCTTACTCTGCCATGCCTCCAGATAATAACTAACTTTAAACCTTATCCTCTTTCCTTAAGCCTTCCACACTTTCCAGTCTTCACTCTTGCCTAAAGATCTTGCTTTTTACTTCGCTGCAAAATTGAAAACGATCAGAAAATAACTTCCTTTCTCACAACCAAATGTCCCAATTTGCCTCCATCAGTGACCACAAACTCTGGCCTTCCTCCTCTTTTCGTGGATGAACTGTCTGTGTTCTCTTCTAAGGCCAAACAAGTTACTCATGTTCTCAATCTTACCCTCCTCTCAGTGACTCAAGGATATCTCTTCAGCAAGTAACTCAGTTTGCTTTACCAGTTTTCTTTCTCTATTTCATCCTTCTCAACTGGACGCAGACATGGTATAAGATATCTCATCTGAAAAATAATGTACCCTCCACCCAGTAACTCTTCAGCTATCCCCCATTTCTATGATCACTGTCCCCAAAGAGCAAAATCCCCTGAGTGGTATCTTCTCATACACTATGGCAGAAATCGGGCTTCATTTCCAGCACCATTTCTTTTCCTTGGGAGCACAGGAAGCAGTATTTCTCAGAATCCTTTGCAGTTTTGTTGGGTTGGGACTAAGTGATCTGGCTCTAGGAATGCAAATGTGAGCAAAAGTGATGTAACACATTCCATCCATGGCCATTAGGTATCTCTAGTGCCTAATCCATCCTTTTTTATCTCCCACCTGAGTGTAAGAACCACATGTGTGAAAGCGGAACTATCAGATAGGTTTGCCTTAGCAGGAGCTGTGGAGAAGAAGGAGTCATAGAGAAAGGCTTTTCATCAGTCATGGACCTAAAAGCGTGCTCTGTAATGGTGGACTTCAGACAGAGATAGAGAGATCCTAGATGAGTCATCCTGGGATGCAGGATGCAGTTGCTTCTTTTGTTTTGAGAATGCTTGGCTGCTTGCTCCATTCCTACTCATCAGTAGAAGCTTGTCTTAGTGTTTCATTTTCAAGGACCTCTTGATATAAACTACGGTTTGAAGGACATTCCGTTCCTAAGTGGGACAGGAGCAGAGCCTGGGCTGCCATGACCAGTTCTGACATATCTCAGGTTGCTGCATTACCAGAGCATTCCAAAGTTATTCCTGAGAACTACAAGTGAGAAAGGTTGGAAAACTGGGTCAGTTCAAGGCCTCCCAAAGAACCATCCTGCAGCTATCACGAGATATGTCTGTCTGTCTGTCTCTTAAGTAGAGAAGGCAGAGATTAAAAATAAAAAAGATTGGAACAACAAAGATATAGGGAAAAATAATTTTGGAAGCTACCTTTGTGAAATCTGTAGAAAGATGTAGAGAAGAGGAGCTGGTAACAGCCATGTCTGGACTCCCGGTCACCCTATTACCACAACCTGTTACCCCAACCCCATCACTTCACATAAGAAGCAAAGTTCATGCTAGCCTAGTAGCCCATTTCCTCCAAGACAATTCCCATCAAGCCTGGCCAGGTGGCTCAGCCCAGACCGAAGCATGGAGGATGTGCAGTGTGAAAAAGCACAGACTGAGATGACCATGCAGAAAAGATTTGTATAAGAAAGCTGGGGCCACCCCTGTAGCCTTGTTTTTATAATACTTTCCTGTGTCAAAAAAATTAATGAAGTTAATTTAGAATGAGAAATGATACATAATGCCTATAGGTATCTCTGAGAAGATTGCTACAGAGACTAAGAGGATCATAGACCTTCCTTCTGGAATGTTCCTGTTCCTATCTGTAGGATGAATGAGTGGAATCAGTGACTCAGACAAAGCCACTGTTGCACAACTGTATGCATGCACAGTGAACTCTGCAGACTCTGCAGATGGTTCCTGTAAATAGCGCTTAAAACCACAGTGGAAAAGCCACATGCTCCTGATACACTTGGGGGGACATAAAGGGAAACCCACACACCCAAGGAGGAGGGCTCTGGCCATGCAAGGCTGAAGGCCCAGTGTACTGATATGAAAACTGAAGCTCAGACAGAAGAGGCGACGTTGCTTTCTTAACCACTGGATTTGCAGTGCTGTGGTTCTCAGAAGAGGCCAGGACAGGTTAATCCACTCACTTGGGAGGCAGGTACCCACATTTCTCTCCAGCTGTTACCTCCAACCTTTAGTTCCACCGGTCAAAGAAGATATTTTGTTTTGCCTTGTCCTTTGCTAAAGTGATGGTACTTGTTTGCTTTCTCTCTGACAGAAAATGGCAGCTTTGGTTGTTCCCTCTTCCTGCCAATTCCTGTTGTTTTCAGTCATTTTAATTTTAGCCTTCTTCTGGAAGGTGCGAGTGGTATCTCAGCATGATTTCCTATTTCCCTCATGAAAAATGATATCAAATACTTTAGAGTTTCTTCATCAAACTTTTGTGTTTCTTCTCTTGTGCATTTTCTATTCAAGTCCTATGCCTACTTTTAAAAATTTCTTTACATTTTTATTGATAAATAAAATGTAAGCATTTTAATGCTTAATGAAATGCTTAATGTTGTGAGCATTTCTATATAAACTAGAGGCAAGTTTTTTTCAGTTGAATGTTATTAATAATTTTGAACAGTCTCCTCATTTTATCACTGGTGTCTTTTGATGAGCAGAGTTTTCATGTTTAATGAAAAGTAATCTACACTTTTTTTCTTTTTTCATTAGCATTTTAATTTGCTACCCAAAACATTCTTGACTACTCCTATTTCATGAAGCTATTCTTCTGTTTTCTCTTAAATGACTCAGCTTTTCACATTTTGACTTAGCTTTTACATTTCTTGACTTAACTTTTACATTATGCTCTTATATTAATACTGAGTTAATTTGCATTGATGGTGTGTGGGAGTATTCAAGGCAGATTATCTCTTTTAATAAATCTACAGTGATCTAAGCAATATTTGTACAAAAGTATTTCCAGTCTCCATTAAAGATCATTTATATCTATATGGAAGTTTAAAAGACCACTTATATGTACAAATGTATGCATGAATTATCTATTCTATTCCACTGGTTTATTGATGCATCCCATGCCAATTCAACACTGTTTTAATTGCTATGTCTTATAGTTTAAGTCTGAAAATATGAGTATAATTCCTCAGATAATACATGCTATATCAATTGTAGAATAAGCTGGTTAATTTCTCTGGAATTTTGATTAAAATGGAGTTGACTCTTGAGATCACGGTGTTGAGAACTGACATTGTACAATACTGATTCATCTATGTTCCAATGAACTGTTGCTAAAAATATAGAAATAAAAATGAATGTGTACATTACCCTTAAATGTAAAACCATGCTAATCACATTCATTAGTTCCATGGGTCTAAAAATACATTCATTTAAATGTTTTCGTATCAATTCATGTCTTTGGTAAATAAGGAAGTCCTACTGTTTTCTTTGCAACATTCTGCCTGTTTTCTCTTTTGTTTGCCGCATTTGCTAAATATTCTATCTAAAATTGAAGAGAATGATGAGAGCTGATATCTTTGCCTTGTTCGCAATCACAGGGAGAAATGATTTCCACGTCTCACACATTATATTAGGTTAATTTTCTTCATTGATGTAACTTATCACATGGAGAAAATTCCCCTCTATTTCAAATTTGCTGGGATTTTTAAATAAAATAAATAGGTGATGAAATTTGTGAATTAATGTTTCAAATGTATTGAACTGACTCAACTATGTCTTCCTGATTTAATTATTCCATTGTGCATTTCAAAGTTACACACTGAAGTATGAACTTGTAATTCTGCATAAATGTCACTTGGCCATGATGTCCTATATTTGTCATAGGTTACTGGTTTGACATGTTTATATTTTATAATCAATTTTGTGAACAAGATCATGGGCTATATTAGTCTGTCATTTTATTTGGGATACTGTTTTCTATTATGGGTAGCAGGGTATTGCTGGTATCTCACAATTTCACATCAAGTGTTCCTTCTTCCTGTATGTTCTGATGGAGTTTCCATAAGTTTGTTTCTTCTTTGGAGTTGATAAAATTCACCAAGAAAGCCATTTGAACTTGAGATTGACTCTATGTGAATAAGTTCATTTTGTCATACAAATGTGGGACTTTTCAGATTTTCTGTTTGAGCCTGTGTCATTGTGGTGAAGTTCAATATTTACTGAGCATCCGGGCTTTCCCTTGTCTGAAAAGCTGCACACTTAGAGACCACATCTCCAGCAGTTCCTCTTCCTTCATAGATTTGTCCTCCAGAATCTGCCTGATTTGGGTGATTCTTCAGCACCTTCTGTGAGGTGCTTTCTCAGAAATCATTTGCCCATGCTGAATCATTGGTGTCTGTAGGAAGGTGGCACTGATCAGCCTCCTCCACAATGACCAGAAGGTGGAACTCCCCAGCACCCCATGGAAGAGAAAGGAAAAGGCTACCCTTCTCCTGTCCAAGCCCACAGCTTCTGCCCCAGAGTGAGGAGCAGTGAGCAGGGCTAGACTGCTGGTGCATCATGATTTCAATCCCACGCCATTATCCTGATCTCAGTTAGCAAAACTTGCAGACCATGAAAAGGTGAGGCGTGCAGCAGGACTGCACCAGGAGGTGAAAGAGGTGAAGTGTCTCACAAGTCCTTTATTCCTCACCACCTGCCCTTGATCACCTGGCCAGTTCTCAGATTTCTTCTACTAGGAACAAAGTTTCAGATACATGTCCAGAAGAGAGGAAGGCCCTACCTTTCTTGGATGTCTATGAGTTGCCACATCCACACACAGACATGGAAGCCAGTGTTTGACACAGTGTGCACTGAGCCATCCTGGCCCACTATGCCCATCCCCTGCAGACATCCTGCACAAGGCCAGGCCCTCACAGGGCCTGGAGACCACCTTTATCAAATGTATTCAAATAGCAATGAAGAAAGAAAAATGGCAAGACACTTGTTAAGGTAAAAGAGAGAGGAAGAAAGGCGAGAAGGGCAAAGAAGCCAGGGGCAGTGAGCTGTCCAATGTCCTAATGACTTCTGCCAGGCAGAGGAAAGTTCCATGAGGGGCATTCAGGACAGGCCTTTTTTGGGCACCTGGTGAATGTTTCCCCTGGCAGACCATATTCAGAGCAAATGGTCATGATTGCCCATAACAGAGTGGTCTTCTCAAAATGAGGGAATAGAGGATCAGGAGGCAAGGCACACCTAGGCAATGGCTAAGTCAAGGATAGAGCCCAGCCCATGTCCTTCCCTATACTTTGGTTTCTCCAGCAGCTCTGTTGACTCTTGACCTTCACCTAGACCTTCCAAGAAGCTGAAGGACAGTGAAAAAGAAGTGGACACCTGTAAGCCACACTGCTCATACGTTGGCTTACTGACAGGACATATGGAGGCTGGTCAGCCCAGTGCCAACCCCCACATGGCCACAGGGCATGTGGCACAGTTTCACCATCATCCTCACAGCTCTCATGACCATGTTCCATGGCCCAGAGCCATGGGCTAAATCTGTACCCACAGCTCACTAGGTACCTATATCAGAAGGTTGGAACACAAGGCCTGTGACCTGCCCAGGGATGATTTGAAACTAGAGATGAGTGTCTCTGCCACACAGATAGAAACAGCCAAATCAGAGAAGAACAAGGACATGAGAATGACAGGAACTAAAACAAAGCCTAGAGTCCCTGTCTGGGGATGGAGAGGAGAGCAGAACAGTTCCCCTCCTCCAGTCAATGCTTTTGCCCAGAGTTGACTCTGAAGGGTGCTCCCTAAGGGTGGGCTTTCAGGCAGAAATACATCTATAGAGTGTGCAGGTACAAGACCCACTTCAATCCTGGGCTTCCAAGTCTGAGTCCCCTGAATCCCTGCGCCTATCTAAATTCTCTGTTTCCCTCACTGGATGATCTGATCAATACAGAATGAGTCAGCACTCATGATGGTTCCTGGCTTCTGGGAATGCCTTGGTACTTGTCCCATGCCTTTTTGCCACTGAGGCCTGGCTCACAATTGCATCCTTGGGGAAGTCTTAGTAATAACTCCTGTCTATTCCTGGGCATGTGCTGGGGGTGAGGGATCAGGGAGACCCTTTACTCCTATTGGAATCTTTCAAGGACTCTTGGTAGGCAGTCGTGAATGTTGGACCTATGTAGAGCAAGAAAGCCTGAGACTTGGTGGTAGTCAGAGAGCCTGCAGGAACCGGAATTCTGTTACATACCTTGGTCATGCTGACACCACAGAACTAGGACATGACTCCGTTGAAGACTCTGACAGATGCTTTACCAAGTAGAGTTGTGACTTTGAACCAGGATCTAGGTGAGCAAAGCCTTTTCTATTTTTCTGTGTGGTAGGACTTGCCTGGGCTGAGACCCAAAACTCTTGGCCTAAGAACCTCACAGCCACATTCTTATACCCACACTGACATTCCTCACTGCCAAACCTGAAGATATTCTTGACCTCTGTCAAATCAGCTGCTCGTCAGATCTGTTCCATAGGCCATATTTTCAGACACCCAAGGATTTGGCACATGATGCCATCCAGGACATTAACATAGGAACATCTAAATGGTATTGTCAAGAGGGGTTGACATGGGCATAGGTTCATCCATCTACATGAAGAGTTTGAAGGCTGCAGTAGCCCAGGTCTCCTAGGGGTGTGGGATAAAGGTGAGGAGTTATAGGCTGGCCCACCTCCCTCTTCACTGAATCTCTAGCCCTGAGTCCAGCCCCTTTCAGAGACCTATAGTACCAGAAGGCAATAGTTATGAACAGGTCCAGCCCTACTGGACTCCCCACTTTACAGACTGCCCTCTCCACTCAATGAACAGATGGGAGCCAATCTTAAATTGAAGTCTAATGTATTGAAACTCAGAAGTAAAGTTCACCCTTCTCTTTTACCCTGCTAGATAGAAACATTAAAATAGAGAAATGGTTTTCTCTTTCAAATGTCTCTTAAAGCTAAAGTGCTCAAAAATCATATCGTGTTTTTCAAAGAAAAGCAGGCTGACTCATCCAATAAAAGCCTCCTGGAGGGCCAGACGTGGTGGCTCATGCCTGTAATCCCAGCACTTTGGGATGCTGAGGCAGGCAGATCACCTGAGGTCAGGAGTTCGAGACCAGCCTGACCAACATGGCGAAACCCCATCTCTACTAAAAATACAAAAATTAGCCAGGTGTGGTGGTAGGTGCCTGTAATCCCAACTACTTTGGAGGCTGAGGCAGGAGAATCGCTTGAACCTGGGAGGCGGAGGTTGCAGTCAGCTGAGATCATGCCACTGCACTCCAGCCTGGGCGACAGAGCAAGACTCTGTCTCAAAAAAAAAAAAAAAAAAAACCTACAGGAAACATATTTTTCTAGTTTTCTAGAGTATACTATCATAAGAATAACTTCCAATAATCTCTATTTTCTAAATTTATCCTGAAATCTATATGACTATCAAGATTCTACAAAAAACAAACCACTTGTGTAAAAGACTCTACCATAAATATAAACATAGAGGGAGAACTGAAAGACATTTTAAGGATCAAATATGAAAACTCATGACTGAAGACCACTGTGTGGTTTCGGAATTTGGAGGACAAAGGTCCCATGGAGGTTGAATGAAACCGAGAGATAACACAACCATTTTCTAAATTCAAATATCCAGGGGAAAAAACAGGCTATGGTAGATGCAAAAGAGGAGAACCCTACTTTGAGGATGAAGAAGCCTGGCATGGGTGCAACAAGCCTTCTTGAAGGAGGTAGTGGAAGAAGATAGCTTCTTGCCAGGAACTCCCTATTAAGACTCAGTAAACATCTTATTGAGGAAAAGGAAAGAGGAAAGAAAAAGTGAAGGTACTGGAGACAGAGGAGGGGGAGTGAGGAGAGGGTCATCAAGGGAAGGGTCAGAGTGGATGGGCCAGAGACTCTGCGATCTCTGAGAAAGCAGCACTTCATGGCCAGGGATCAGGGCACAAATCCTAATCTCAACCACATGCTCCACTGGGATGATCAAATCCATGAAGATCCACATGCAGAAGCTGGAGCTGAATGGCTCTTTCCCTTCTTCTTTGTCCCAGGTCCGCAACTTCCTGTCTGGTGATGATGAGGTTTCCTTCAACCTCCTGAGCTCTCAGCCAATCATTGGGGGCTTGACACCTGATTGACAGAATCTGGCACTGCCTAGAAAAAAATGGTTCCTTCCAGCTGTCATGTGAGATCAGGAAATAGCTCTTGGGAGTTCTCCAACTCTTTATTTCATGGCTCATCAGGTCATTGGCTTCAGAACTTTCTACCTATTGCTCGAAGTCAAGATCTGCCTTGACAAGTAGCATCCCCACACACTCCACTTCTTTTAGGCTGCTGTCATTTAATCATTTCATTTTCTCTCTCCTCAATATGTCAATCTGATCATTCCATGGAGGCTTCTAGATGATCTTGTGTTGACCTCTCAGTGAGCTTTCTTCTTTTCTTTGGCAATACTGATGTGAAATTGGTTCTTTCTCTTTCTCTTGAATGTTGAAATGGGCATGTGACCTGACAGCATCCTTTGATCTTTTCCTGGATCCTTTTGCCTCCTTAAGAATATGATCTCCATTTCTTGGTTCTCCTAATCCCAATTTCTCACTCAAGTCCTTCTTTCAGGAAAAAGCTGCTGCTTCATTGATCTTGAGTCTGTCTTCCTGCCAAGACATAGCCTGACTCTTCATAGAAGACATAAACGTGGCTCTGGTGAGCTTGAATCTTTTTTCAGTTTCTCCTGTTAGTTTGAAGTGTGCTTTAGCTTCTTGCACATATGGCTCAATGGCTTTTTGGTGTAGAGACTGGATCTTTCTTGCTGTCTCAGACATCAGCTGTTTTAGTTCTGAACAATGAGGGTTTACTCTTCCCCTGTGTCTTGCCACAATGCATATGAAGTTCCTCCTCATAGGCTTGAACCCATCCAAGTCATCAGCCACTTCTGACTCTTCCTTTTCCTCCACCCTAGGATGAAACTTGCCAAGAGCATTACATTTGACTACTGCTAGTGCTAAATTGCTACTGGCAGGTCCCTTGTCTCTTGATCAAGAAAGACTTTCTTTGAATGACTAAACAATTTTGCCTATAAACAAGAGAACTAGGAATACCTGGACTGTCAAAATACACTCTTCCCTCTCCCACTGATATACGGGGACAGTGAGATTTGCTCTCACATCATCAGGGGCTTCTGCCATGAAATCCTCCAGTGTCTCATGGGTTGGACAAGAGTACACATCCCTAGCAGAACGAAGCTTCTCCATAAAGGCCCAGTCTGATGCAGAGCTACCTAGGGCCACCCTGGCCAGTAGGCCCACACCACACCATGAAAATGATGCTTCTGGTTTTCACTCAGAACCAAACCTGCACTGGGAAACCAGGGCAAATCATGTCTGCTGAGGGTGGGTGGGCAGGCTCAAAGCAATCAAGAACTCTCATATCCTCCCTCATATCCTTGGCTCTTTTACTTCACCTTCTTTATCTGGAGCCTAACAAGGACTCTAATATATTATTCACACTGTTTACTCAGTCTGGAAAGCTGCTCATTCCATTTGTCCTATGTGGGGCACACCCCTGTCTTGTGACCACAGTTCTCTCACTCTAGCAGCTCCAGTGGCCTCGGTTGGGCCCGGCCATGATGAGGTTCACAGTGCTCCATGCATACTTGTGGACAGAATCAATGAACAAGCAATGGAATCAACGGACGAAGGCCAAAGTTATCCTTTGTCTTCTCTGGAAAGTTACACCTAATGCTCTGCAGACCCAGCAAACAGCTTACTAGAAAAACTTCATTCCAGTGGAAGCAAACAAACAGAGTAATGTATTTGAAAAGCATGAACTAATGGTGAACATCAGAAAACCATGAGCAACATCTGCTTCTCTACTAATTATAGCTTTAGTCCTCTGTTTTCCTCCCCGGTTCTAGAAAAAGGAAATGACATTCAATCCTATTACCCCTGCTTCCTGACAGCACCCAGACCAGATCAGACTCACACTTTCTTGAGTGCCCCCCCAATGAAAATCACAGAGCAAAAGCCAAAATTCCATACAAATTCCCTCCTAACTAACTATGACTGTGTGGTCCTGTGGTTCCTCCTGTGGTACAGTCTGCCTTGATGCAAGTACCAGGAAAATAAACTTTGCTTCATGACAGGTGTGTTCCTGGTGGTTTTCAACTGAAGGTGTTTGATTGATGGTCCCAATTTCACTGTCTTTATCTTCCTCACAACATTTCTGGGGAAGAAGCATGGAGCTAGAAAACCTATTTTATGCCAGTACAAGTGGTTTGTTCAAATTCACATAGATACCAAATTCACAGTTATGAATCAAAATCTCTCAATCTCCAGCTGTTTCTTCAGGATGGGCCAGTCCACAAAGGCTGCATCCCAGAGTAAAAGGAAGTAGAGATAATTGCAACTGAGACCAGCAGACTCAGAATGGAGTGGGGACCATGAAAATCCTGCAAGAAAGCGTTGTGGGAGGGGAGCAGAAACAGGCCAGGCTGTGAAAAATGGGCCATGGGAGGAGCAGGTAGTCATCTTATAGGTTGGAGAGGCAAATGATTCTGCAGGGAGGTGGATGAGTTATATGGGGTGGATTTCTGGGAGGAAGAAGCAGTGGGCAAGGCTCAAGGTCCTAGAAGCCTTGACAATGACTATAGGGGTGGCGTGAAGGTGCTCAGAGATGCTAAATGACAACCATTTCACAGAGTTTGTTTGTTGTACCTGCTAGGAGCTTAGCATTGTGACTATGAGCATTTAGATGACCATTGCTCAGCATTTTAATAATTACAGTACCAGAAGTCAACACTTTCTGGAAAGAAATTGGTACTTTCTTCTTGAAATGCAAAGTTCACAATTGCCTGGTGGGGGCTCTTGGGTCAGAGGTACTAACAAGATGGAACAGAGTTTTGTGCTCTTAGGCCTGTCAGGTGGGGTGGGTTGCCCCGGCCTGAGGATAGCAGGAGGGCCAGGTCAGTATGTGCTGAATGGGTCAAGGTGGGAGGGAAGAATGGGGTTGAGAAAGTTTATTTCTACCCTTGGCCATCTGAGAGCAGGGCTCCTCTCTTTGCCCCTGGTTGGTGCGGAGCATTCTCCAGATTGTTTTCAGGAGTCCTCACTAGATGGCTCCAGGACTCAGAAGCCCGGGAGGAGTCTCCATCTTCCATACAGAGTTGCAAATGCTGAACCAGTCATAGCTTCTCAATTAGACCGGAATTCCTTGTGTGTGTGTTATTCAGATCCCCATGTCATCAATAAGGAAACTGAGGCTACGACAAATAAAGTTAGGGTTAGGGCTAGGGTCAGCTCTAAAAAGAAACAAGATCATGTCCTTTGCAGGGGCATGAATGGAGCTGAAAGCCATTATCCACAGCAAACTAACACAGGAACAGAAAACCAAACACCACATGTTCTCACTTATAAGTGGGAGCTGAACAACAAGAACACATGGACACAGGAAGGGGAACAACACACACTGGGGTCTGTCAAGGGGGTGGGAAGAGGGAGAGCATCAGGATAAATAGCTAATGCACGTGGTGCGTAATATCTAGGTGAAGGGTTGATAGGTGCAGCAAACCACCATGGCACACGTTTACCTACGCAACAAACCTGCACATCCTGCCTATGTATCCCGGAACTTAAAATAAAATTAAATAATAGTAAAAAAAAAAGTAGACTTTCAAACAAGGGTTATTCTAAGAGGAAAAAAAAAAAAGAAAGTGGGAGTCTGATCTGGTGTGGGTGCTGTCAGGAAGTAGGGGTAATACTACTGGATGTGGTAAAGAAAAATTTCAGCTGAATTAAATTCAAAGGAGTTTAATTGAGCAATGAACGATTCAAGAATGGAGCAGCCCCCAGAATCACAGCAGATTCAGGGATTCTGGGAATGCCTTATGGTCAGAACAAATTTAAGGACAAAAAAAGGAAGCGTTGTACAGAAATCAGAATTAAGGTACAGAAACAGCTGGACTGGTTACAGGTTGGCGTTTGCCTTATATGAACAGAGTTTGAACACTCAGCAGTGTATGAGTGGTTGAAGTATGGCTGCTGGGATTGGCCAAGACTCAGCTATTGTTACAGGTGCATACTCCTAAGTTTGGTTTTCAATCTCATCTACCTCTCAAGTTAGGTTACAGTTTGTCCACAAGGACTCAAATATAGAAGTACAGAGTCCTTCTCAGGCCATTTTTAGTTTGCTTTAACAGATGTAAACTTTTTTCCAGAACTGGGGAGGAACAGAGAGGGCTAAATCGATATTTACTAGAGAAGCAGTAGTTGCTCACGCCAGCCAAAAGAGGGGCCTATTGGCCATTTTTGTCATGTGCATAGTGACTTTTTTTGGATTCTCTAACTAATGTTGAATAGAACAGTGGCAGCTACAGCTGATATCTTTGTCTTGTTTTCAATCACAGGGAGCAGTTTTTTTTTCTTTCACCATTAAAGATCATGTGAGCGCGAGGTTGTTCTTAGACATACTTTATCACGTGGAGGGAAATTTGCTGATTTTTTTTTAAATAATGAATGTGTGATGAGTTCTAAATTGATTTTTCAGAATCCATCAAATTCACTCTTAGCTATGTCTCTTTGATTTGTAAATATGATGGATTTCAAAGTCTAATATTTCAATATTAATTGCATTCTTAAGATAATTTTTTTCCGTTGATGTCTGTGGGAAGGTGGGACTGACCAAGTTTCTCCACCATGACCAGAGGGTGGGACTCCACAGCACACCATGGAACATGAAGGAAATGGTCCTTCCACCTCTCCAGGCCCACACTCCTGCCCCAGGGTGAGGAGCAGAGAGCAGGACACAGAGTTTTTCTCCTATGTGCTCAGATATGTTCAGCCGACATCACTCACTGATGGCTTCATCCTGTCCTATGAGTCACATGCGACAGTTATGATTGATATCCACATCCACATACTGGATGTAGTCTAAGTACCTGTTCTGAAAAGTTTTCTATATTCTTAAGCTTTCAGTCACTTTTAGTTTCCTGTTTTATTACTGACATTCTGAACACCTCTCATATTTCTAGAATCCCTAGGCCCACAGGAACCCATACACAGAACACAGCCTTTTCTCTTGAATTCACCACAATCCCTTCAGGAGAGTCACTGTGGTGTGGGCTAGGTTCCTACTGGCATGACCAAGGCAGTGGCAGGGAGTTCTCAGCTGAGGACCAAATACCAGACACGCAGTTTCTTGACAGATGCTGAGGACCCACCTGTAACTGAGAAATATTCACCAGGACATTTTTCTTCTTATAACCATCCCAAGGATCCCTTTACCCTCAGAGATGCTTTGAGCAAGAGGCCGATACACACAACCCTCCGGTGTCAGCCCGGTCTGTCCTCCTGCCCAGCCTCCCCTGGAGCTCAGTCCCTGAACGTCTCCGAGTCAGCCACATGAAGCTCCATGAAGTTCTCTAGATGGGCTGCCCCATCCTAGTCCCAGAGCACAGACATACTCTATTCCCCCTTAGTGGAATGCCTTTCTATGCATTTTCCTGTATTTAATTAGTTGCTAATACTGTATTCATAGATGAACACACTCTGAGGACTTTTGAAAACATTTCAGGAGCCCAAGGCCTCCCTGATAAAGGCCCATAAACCTTGTCTTCAGTGTTCTGTGAAGTCGAAGCAACATCTCCTGAGGCCCGGTTTTTCAGTTTGATAGGGGCCATGACACTGGGTTCAGATTCTAAAAGTTCTGAATATCCAACAACTTATGAGTCTGTTGAAATTTCGGCTTAAAGTGAGGACACCTGGAAAACTCTCCCAAAAAATGGGATAAGGAAGGAGGTCACAACACAGCCCACCTTGCTCTCTCAGGGCATCCTGTGGTGTAGGGTGAGCCTCGGGCGCTGGAGTCATGGACCTCAGTGAGGAGGCTTGCTCTCATCCTCATCACTAGGTTGTGGAACTGTAGCCCTCAAGAGGCCGAATGACCTGGGCATTGAGTCTACCAGTGATGCCCAGGGACAATGTGTTTTAGAGCATTGCTGTCCAATAGAAATATGGAGTTAGAAACACATCTAATTTTAAATTTTCTAGCAGCCACATTAAAAGGGTAAAAATATGTAAAATTAATTTAAATAAAATTTAACCCAGCATATTCAAAACATTATCATTTCAACATGTAATCATGTAAACGCATTATTCACCTGATTCAGTACAGCCATTTGTTCCTCATGAAATCTTTAAAATCCAATGTACATTTGCATGCAGAGCACGTCTCGATTTGGAATAAGCCTATTTCAAGTGTTCACATGTGGCTAGTAGTTTTCTATTTGGGCAGCGAACACCTAGAGGGTCAATCTTTGTGTATCCCACAATCAGGGAATGTGATGATTAATTTTTCACATCAACATGGTCTAGCTACACTATCCAGCTATTGAATCCAACACTGACCTAGGTGCTGCTGTGAAGGTACTTTGTACATATGGTTAGCATCCACAATCAGTTGATCTTAGGTAAAGGAGATGAGCCTCCATCACGTGGTTAGACCTCATCTAACAGTTGAGGCTTGAAGAGGGAAAATAGGTTTCCTGTAGAAGGAGAAACTCTGCCTCAAGGCTGCAGTAGCAACCGTGACCTGAATTTCCAGCCCACCAGCCATGCAGACTGCAGACTTGCCAGCCCTCACTGGCAGTTGAGTCACTTCATACATACACACAATTATTTGTCTGTTTCTCTTTAGGACCTTAATCGACACAGGCAGCATCCACAACAGTGACTGAGACTATACTTGATGGCTTTTCTGAGAACTTGTAAATCATACACATATTTCTGAATCCCGAGGGAAAGCTGTGTCTAGCTACTAAATAGCCAATAAGGAGACTAGAATTCATAGAAGTTAGTTTTCTTTCAGCAACTATTTATCTATGAAAATAAACAGCCAGGCACGGTGGCTCACATCTGTAATCCTAGCACTTTGGGAGGCTGAGAGTGGATCATTTAGGTTAGGAGTTCGAGACCAGCCTGGCCAACATGACGAAACCCTATCTCTACTAAAAATACAAAAAAATTAGCTGGACATGGTGGTGGGTGTCTGTAGTCCCAGTTACTAGGGAGGCTGAGGCAGGAGAATCGCTTAAAACCCCGGGAGGCAGAAGTGGCAATAAGCAAACATCGCCCACTGCATTCCAGCCTGGGCGACAGAGCGAGACTTTGTCTCCAGAAAAAAAAAAAAAAAAAAAAAAAAAAAGCATGCATAAATTGCTGAGACTGACCTCTACCCAGCCCCAACTTAGTAGAAGTTAATTCCAATGGGAGTAGTGAAAATACAGATATGCTTTGCCCTCACCAAGTGTCACAGAGTGGTGCATACTTGTGCTTCTTTATACATCAGGGGTAGGTCTATTTATGTCTCTATGATTCTTGCATGTCTGTGCTTGCCCTGTGTATTCCTGTCTGTGTGAAGCATGTCCAAGTGTTTGCAGGTGGTTGTGTATGTATGTGTGTCTATTCACTGGTATTGGGGAAATATGCGGATGTGCATAGATGTATAAGATGAGGATGATCTATGACTTATGAGGTTCAGGCCTATAAAGCCCCTGTCTGGCCCGAGGGCAGCTTTGGGGTTTTTCCTTGCCAAGAGGCAATAGGAAGAGAACTGGCATCCCTGAACCCTCCTCATCCTCTCATAAGAAACAGGATGAAGGAACAGCACTGGGCACTATATTAGGGTGCTGCTGAACAAGAATATAAAGATGGGGAGGTTGGATGAAACTATGGCAGGGCATGATCGAGGATCCTCAGCAGCTGTGTCCTGGGAGGTTCCATCCAGGGGATGGTTTGCAATCCTCCTCAAGCAAGAAATGCATTTGAGACCCCAGAGAACTAGCTCCTAGTCCAGATGAGGCTGATGCAGTCACTAATTTCCCCCATACCTCCCACATATTTTTCCAGAATACCAGGCACTGGTCTGATAGCAGGAAGAGGGGAAGACAGCAGATGTGCATAGACCAGATGCCACTGCATGCCACATGCGTGCTCTGCCCTTAACAGAGCAGTTACTTCCCACTGACCACAACTTGCTGGGCCTCAGCTCTCAACCCTATGAAACTGGCATGTGGACAGCACTGGCCAGTAGAATGTTTGCTGTGAGCATCTTTGAGATAGCATTCGAGTGTTTGTTCCCTTAGCCTGAAAAAACAGGTCTTCCCTAAGATCTGAGCAGGAAAAAGCATTGCCCTGCAATATAGGAAGCTGCAGATACTCAGAAGCCCTGAGAAAGGTGGTTAGACTAACCAGAAATACCTCTCCAACAAGACTTTCCTCTTCACAGAGATGGAATGATGAAAAAAGCTTCTCCGAATGGCCTCTTGGAGCCAACGTGAGGCATGGGAAATGCTGAACCCTCAGGGACCCTGTAGGATAAGCAGAAGCCCCTGAGAGGCAGCCCCTTCAACAACCAGTAGGAAAAGCATGTAACAGTTCTGCCCTCTGCTGGCAGTGTTAAGAACTGCATTGGGCCAAGGGGATGGGCACAAAGATCTAGGAGGCCTTTTTGAGGACCGCACATGACATCTAACATGAGACCTGGGGAACACCATGTAGACATGCTCAGGGAAGGGAAAGAGCCTGGCTTTTGTGATGATCTGCAAGTAGATCAAAGGTCTGCATCCTCTCTAGCATTGAGAATCAACATGAGAATTACGTGCAGCTCCCAGCTGTCCCTTCTTTAGGGCACTCTCCTCCCAGGTACAGGGTTCTGGTCTCTGGATCTCAGGGTTCTGGTCTCTGGATCTCAGGGTCCTGGGGTCTCAGCTGCAGGCTCTGGGCAGTGGTCACACCCTTAGTGATTGGGTATTTGAGCTCAGAAAAGAGAATTAGGATTCTAAATCTGCTCCCTCTGCTCTGGTCACTGAACTTCTGACCCTGGACTCTGCAGTCTAGGCCCTGGGTCTTGGTTCCAGTGGGTGGGATTGACCCTGTACTGTGCTTGGGCAGTGATCTCAGTTTTCTGAAGAAGAGGAAGCTCCAGGCTCTGTGTGTTGGATCCTGAACTAGGGGTCATGGGCTCTGCTTGAGGCCTGGGCCTCTGGCTCTGGGCCCTCGCTTGGCATCTGGCATTTGGGTTCCAAGAACTGACCTTATATTTCTGGGCCTTACTTTGGTGATCTGCAGGGCTGTAGTGCTACAAGCTTAACTGAGCCCCTAAATCTTGTCTTCTCCTTGCAGTTTCCTCATTCAGGCTTTGGGCACTGGGCTGTGGGCTCCAGGCTCCAGCTCTGCCCATGTTGCTGAGTCTTTGGGCTATTTACTGGTCATTGATGAAAAACATGATTCCATTCCTGTCCTCTGGGCAAAGAGGTGTCTTGGATCCCATGCTGTAAGTTCGGGATGTGAGTACTCTAGTCTGACTTTGGGGTTCCATGCTGGCCCCAGAGATCTTAGTTTTGCTTAATGCTGAAGGAATCCTGCTGAGGGAAGGAAAACGGGGTGATTAAATTTGAGACAAAGGTGGTGATTCAAGGCTCCAAACCAGAGAGGCAATGGGAAACACAAGATCAGCATCTGCTTGGCAGACATAGGAGCCAGGCAAGGGTCTACTCTCTCCTGAGCTCAGTGACTTTCACAAGTGACCTCACCTGCCTAACGAGAGGCTCTGCTTCTGCTCTTTACTAAGTGCTCACTTCACAAGTGACCTCATTTGGCTGACCCTCAGTTTCCTTATTCATGACATGGGGATGTGAATAACATACACATGGAAGGAATTCTGGTCCAATTGAGAAGCCATGACTGGCTCAGCATTTGCAACTCTGTCTGGAAGATGGGGATGCCTCCCAGGCTTCTGAGCCCCAGAGCCATTCTGTGGGGACTCTTGAAAATCTGGAGAATGCTCCCCACCAGCCAGGGGTAAGGAGAGGAGCCCTGCTCTCTGATGGCCAAGGGTAAAATGAACTTTCTCAAGACCACCCCATCCTTCCATCCTGCCTAGACCCATTCAGCATATACTGACCTGGACCTCCTGCTGTCCTCAGGCCAGGGCAGCCCACAACCCCCCCACAAGCCTGAGACCACAAAACTCTTCTCCATCCTGTTAACACCTCTGACCCAAGAGCCTCCACCAGGGAAATGTGAACTTTGCATTTCAAGAGGCAAGTACCAATTTCTCTCCAGAAAATATTGACTTCTGGTTCTGTAATTATTAAAATGCTGAGCAATGGTCATCTAAATGCTCGTAGTCACAATGCTAGGCTCCTAACAGGTACAACAAACTCTGCTAAATGGTTGTCATTTAGCATCTCTGAGCACCTTCACACCACCCCTATAGTCATTGTCAGAGTTTCTAGGACCTTGAGCCTTGTCCACTGCTTCTTCCTCCCAGACATCCACCTCATTCAACTCATCCACCTCCCTGCAGAATCAGTTGCCTCTCTGACCTATAAGATGAGTGCCTGCCCCACTTGTGGCCCGTTTTTCACCGCCTGGCCTGTTTCTGCCCCCTCGCACAACTCTTTCCTGCAGGATTTTCATGGTCTCCACTCCATTCTGAGTCCGCTGGCCTCAGTTGCAATTATCTCTATTTCTTCTTACTCTGGGATGCAGCCTTTGTGGACTGCTCCATCTTGAAGAAACAGCTGGAGATTGAGAGACTTTGACTCTTAACTGTGAATTTGGTATCTATGTGAATTTGAACAAACCACTTATACTGGCATCAAATAAGTTTTGTAGTCCCACGCTACTTCCCCAGAAATGTTGTGAGGAAGATAAAGACAGAGAACATGAAACCATCAATCAAAGATCTTTAGTCAAAAACCACCAGGAACACAACTGTCATGAGGCAAAGTTTATTTTCCTGGTACTTGTATCAAGGAAGATTGTACTACTGGAGGAACCATAGGATCGCTCAGTCAGTTTGTCAGGAGGAAATGTGCATGGAATTTGTACTTGTGCTTTGTGATTTTCAGGTTGGGGAGACTCACGAATATATGAGTCTGATCTGGTCCAGGTGCTGTCAGGAAGCAGGGGTAATAGGATTGGATGTCATTACCTTTTTCTAGAACTGGGGAGGAACAGAGAGGGCTAGATCTGTATTTAGTAGAGAAGCAGCACTTGCTCATGCCAGCTAGGAGCGGGGCCTGTTGTCCGTTTTTGTTGTGTGCAGAGAGCCTGAGTAGTCTAGATTTTGTCTAGACTTGTTAAGAATTTTTACCAACATGTTTATTACGGTATTTTCTTGGAGTATCATTTTCAGATTTTAATGTCAGGATTATACTGCCTTCATTAATGAATTAGAAAGTGTTCCTTATTCCTTCTTCCTGAAAGAGTTTACATAGGATTTACTTTCTTTCTTTCTACATATTTAATAGAATTCACCAGTGAAACCCCATCTGAGCCTAGAATTTTCTTTGTGGGGCAAGTTTTGATAACAAATTAATTTTCTTTGGTAGGTAGAGGGTTATTCGATTGTCTATTCGATCTTGTCTATTCGAGAATTGTCTACTCAATCTTGTATCATATTCATTATATTTTAATTTTTAAGGAATTTAACTTCACAAATTTGTTGAGAAAGTTGTTCACAATCTTTTTTTATGTTTTTGATATCTATTAGGATCAGTTGTGATAGTCCCTTTTAATTCTTGATATTGCTAATTTGCATTTTTTCATGTTTTCTTGATGTGTCTTGCTAGATATTTAAAAATTGTATTAATGTTCATAAAAACAACTTTTGGCTTTATTTTCTCATTTTTTTCAGCTTTGTATACCATTAATTTTGCTCTGATCTTTATTTCCTTTCTTCTACTTATTTTAATTGAAGCATATTTTTCTAGTTTTATAAAAGGAATAATTAGATAATTTATTTCATGTCTTTATTCCACTCTAATATAAACATTTAAAGCTATAAATTTTCTTATAAGAACTGCTTTAGCTATGCCTATCACCAAAATTTAAACATTTAGTTTTCATTATGACTCAGATAAAAATAATTTCTAATTTCTCCCATGACCTCTTTGTGGGTTTTCTACAAGTGACTTGCTTAAATGTGAAAAATATCATCCTGGCACCCAGTTAAGTTACTTGGAAGTAGTTGGTTTTTTCTCAGGTCTTGCTTTTATGTGGAGATCCAGAGCACTGCTCTGTCTAGAGCTCATGCTTCCCCTCTATTGAGCAGTTTCCCCAAAGCTCCATGAATTAAGAGTTTTTCTAGCTGGTTCGTTGGTAAAGGCACGGTTCTCAGCCTTGTGTGATTGCTGGACACTATTCACTCTAATCTTTTCAGACTTTTTTTGTTCTTACTTTGGACAAAATCTTCACAAACCTGCTCGAAGAGTTTTGAATACTCAAAGATCTCTCGGATCCTCTCTCTGTGTAGTGCTCTCTGATTTGGCACTCTTTCCTATAAACTCTAAATGTCCATGTCTCCAGGATCTCTCAGCTCTATTCCCTCAACTCAGGGCATCCAATGCACTTCACCTCATTTTCTGCCCCTAAACTTTAACCTGAAAACTCTCTCAGGGAAGTGAGCTGGGGGTGTCTTAGGGCTCCTTTAGTTTGTTTCTAGTCTCTCCATTCTCTTTTGCCTAATGTTCAATGTCTTAAAAACCATCATTTCATTTATCTTATAGTTTCAGTTGTCAATGAACCGTAGTGGTTGTGTACAAATAAACTTTTTCTTTTTACCAAAACTGGTGGTGGACTGGATTTGCTGTGTGGACTGTGGTTTTCCACCTCATGAACTAGAGCAACCTTAATCTAGTTTATATATTGGATTCTCCAAAATGATCATTTTAGAAAAATAGTTTTTATCACTACTAAATTGTTGGAAAATATCTAAGTCCTGTCCCTTCAGATTATGTCTATTCTTTAGAGGCTCAAGTAGACAGCAGACATTAATAAATATTTATTAAAATTGTAGGGGTGAATTAGAAAAAACTAGAAAAAAGAAATAGGACTAAAATTCAGGGGTCTATCATGTAATCTTTTTTAAAATTATGCTTGCCATTAGAGGGCAGCCAAGATGGCCGAATAGGAACAGCTCCAGTCTACAGCTCCCAGCGTAAGCAATGCAGAAGACGGGTGATTTCTGCATTTCCATCTGAGGTACCGGGTTCATCTCACTAGGGAGTGCCAGACAGTGGGCGCAGGACAGTGGGTGCAGCGCACCGTGTGCGAGCCGAAGCAGAGTGAGGCATTGCCTCACTCGGGAAGTGCAAGGGGTCAGGGAGTTCCTCTTCCTAGTCAAAGAAAGGGGTGACAGACGGCACCTGGAAAATCGGGTCACTCCCACCCTAATACCGCACTTTTCCGACAGGCTTAAAAAACGGCACACCAGGAGATTATATCCCGCACATGCCTCAGAGGGTCCTACGCCCACAGAGTCTCGCTGCTTGCTAGCACAGCAGTCTGAGATCAAACTGCAAGGCGGCAGTGAGGCTGGGGGAGGGGCGCCCACCATTGCCCAGTCTTGCTTAGGTAAACAAAGCAGCCAGGAAGCTGAAACTGGGTGGAGCCCACCACAGCTCAAGGAGGCCTGCCTGCCTCTGTAGGCTCCACCTCTGGGGGCAGGGCACAGACAAACAAAAAGACAGCAGTAACCTCTGCAGACTTAAATGACCCTGTCTGACAGTTTGAAGAGAGCAGTGGTTCTCTCAGCACGCAGCTGGAGATCTGAGAACAGGCAGACTGCCTCCTCAAGTGGGTCCCTGACCCCTGACCCCCGAGCAGCCTAACTGGGAGGCACCCCCAGTAGGGGCATACTGATACCTCACACGGCCAGGTACTCCTCTGAGACAAAACTTCCAGAGGAACGATCAGACAGCAGCATTCACAGTTTATGAAAATCCACTGTTCTGCAGCCACCACTGCTGTTACCCAGGCAAACAGTGTCTGGAGTGGACCGCTAGCAAACTCCAACAGACCTGCAGCTGAGGGTCCTGTAAGTTAGAAGGAAAACTAACAAACAGAAAGGACATCCACACCAAAAACCCATCTGTACATCACCATGATCAAAGACCAAAAGTAGATAAAACCACAAAGATGGGGAAAAAACAGAGCAGAAAAACTGGAAACTCTATAAAGCAGAGCGCCTCTCCTCCTCCAAAGGAACGCAGTTCCTCACCAGCAACGGAACAAAGCTGGATGGAGAATGACTTTGACGAGTTGAGAGAAGTCTTCAGATGATCAAACTACTCCAAGCTACAGGAGGAAATTCAAACCAAAGGTAAAGAAGTTAAAAACTTTGAAAAAAATTTAGACGAATGTATAACTAGAATAACCAATACAGAGAAGTGCTTAAAGGAGCTGATGGAGCTGAAAGCCAAGGCTCGAGAGCTATATGAAGAATGCAGAAGCCTCAGGAGCAGATGCGATCAACTGGAAGAAAAGGTATCAGTGATGGAAGATGAAATGAATGAAATGAAGCGAGAAGGGAAGTTTAGAGAAAAAAGAATAAAAAGAAATGAACAAAGCCTCCAAGAAATATGGGACTATGTGAAAAGACCAAATCTATGTTTGATTGGTGTACCTGAAAGTGATGGGGAGAATGGAACCAAGTTGGAAAACACTCTGCAGGATATTATCCAGGAGAACTTCCCCAAACTAGCAAGGCAGGCCAACATTCAGATTCAGGAAATACAGAGAATGCCACAAAGATACTCCTCGAGAGGAGCAACTCCAAGACACATAATTGTCAGATTCACCAAAGTTGAAATGAAGGAAAAAATGTTAAGGGCAGTCAGAGAGAAAGGTCGGGTTACCCACAAAGGGAAGCCCATCAGACTAACAGTGGATATCTCGGCAGAAACTCTACAAGCCAGAAGAGAGTGGGGGCCAATATTCAATATTCTTAAAGAAAAGAATTTTCAACCCAGAATTTCATATCCAGCCAAACTAAGCTTCATAAGTGAAGGAGAAATAAAATACTTTACAGACAAGCAAATTCTGAGAGATTTTGTCACCACCAGGCCTGCCCTAAAAGAGCTCCTGAAGGAAGCACTAAACATGGAAAGGAACAACCAGTACCAGCGAGTGCAAAATCATGCCAAATTGTAAAGACCATTGAGGCTAGGAAGAAACTGCATCAACTAACGAGCAAAATAACCAGCTAACATCATAATGACAGGATCAAATTCACACATAACAATATTAACTTTAAATATAAATGGACTAAATGCTCCAATTAAAAGACACAGACTGTCAAATTGGATAGAGTCAAGACCCATCAGTGTGCTGTATTCAGGAAACCCATCTCACGTGCAGAGACACACATAGGCTCAAAATAAAAGGATGGAGGAAGATCTACCAAGCAAATGGAAAACAAAAAAAGGCAGGGGTTGCAATCCTAGTCTCTGATAAAACAGACTTTAAACCAACAAAGATCAAAAGAGACAAAGAAGGCCATTACATAATGGTAAAGGGATCAATTCAACAAGAAGAGCTAACTATCCTAAATATATATGCACCCAATACAGGAGCACCCAGATTCATAAAGCAAGTCCTGAGTGACCTACAAAGAGACTTAGACTCCCACACAATAATAATGGGAGATTTAACACCCCACTGTCCACATTTGACAGATCAATGAGACAGAAAGCTAACAAGGATACCCAGGAATTGAACTCAGCTCTGCACCAAGCAGACCTAATAGACATCTACAGAACTCTCCACCCCAAATCAACAGAATATACATTTTTTTCAGCACCACACCACGCCTATTCCAAAATTGACCACATAGTTGGAAGTAAAGCTCTCCTCAGCAAATGTAAAAGAACAGAAATTATAACAAACTGTCTCTCAGACCACAGTGCAATCAAACTAGAACTCAGGATTAAGAAACTCACTCAAAACCACTCAACTACATGGAAACTGAACAACCTGCTCCTGAATGATTACTGGGTACATAATGAAATGAAGGCAGAAATAAAGATGTTCTTTGAAACCGATGAGAACAAAGACACAACATACCAGAATCTCTGGGATACATTCAAAGCAGTGTGTAGAGGGAAATTTATAGCACTAAATGCCCACAAGAGAAAGCAGGAAAGATCCAAAATTGACACCCTAACATCACAATTAAAAGAACTAGAAAAGCAAGAGCAAACACATTCAAAAGCTAGCAGAAGGCAAGAAATAACTAAACTCAGAGCAGAACTGAAGGAAATAGAGACACAAAAAACCCTTCAAAAAATTAATGAATCCAGGAGCTGGTTTTTTGAAAGGATCAACAAAATTGATAGACCGCTAGCAAGACTAATAAAGAAGAAAAGAGAGAAGAATCAAATAGATGCAATAAAAAATGATAAAGGGGATATCACCACCGATCCCACAGAAATACAAACTATCATCAGAGAATACTACAAACACCTCTACGCAAATAAACTAGAAAATCTAGAAGAAATGGATAAATTCCTTGACACATACACCCTCCCAAGACTAAACCAGGAAGAAGTTGAATATCTGAATAGACCAATAACAGGCTCTGAAATTGTGGCAATAATCAATAGCTTACCAACCAAAAAGAGTCCAGGACCAGATGGATTCACAGCCGAATTCTACCAGAGGTACAAGGAGGAACTGGTACCATTCCTTCTGAAACTATTCCAATCAACAGAAAAAGAGGGAATCCTCCCTAACTCATTTGATGAGGCCAGCATCATCCTGATACCAAAGCCGGGCAGAGACACAACAAAAAGAGAATTTTAGACCAATATCCTCGATGAACATTGATGCAAAAATCCTCAATAAAATACTGGCAAACCGAATCCAGCAGCACATCAAAAAGCTTATCCACCATGATCAAGTGGGCTTCATCCCTGGGATGCAAGGCTGGTTCAATATACACAAATCAATAAATGTAATCCAGCATATAAACAGAACCAAAGACAAAAACCACATGATTATCTCAATAGATGCAGAAAAGGCCGTTGACAAAATTCAACAACCCTTCATGCTAAAAACTCTCAATAAATTAGGTATTGATGGGATGTATCTCAAAATAATAAGAGCTATCTATGACAAACCCACAGCCAATATCATACTGAATGGGCAGAGACTGGAAGTATTCCCTTTGAAAACTGGGATGTTTTCCAAAACTGGAAGCATTCCCTTTGAAAACACAGGACAGGGATGCCCTCTCTCACCACTCCTATTCAACATAGTGTTGGAAGTTCTGGCCAGGGCAATTAGGCAGGAGAAGGAAATAAAGGGTATTCAATTAGGAAAAGAGGAAGTCAAATTGTCCCTGTTTGCAGATAACATGATTGTATATCTAGAAAACCCCATTGTCTCAGCCCAAAATCTTCTTAAGCTGATAAACAACTTCAGCAAAGTCTCAGGATACAAAATCAATGTACAAAAATCACAAGCTTTCTTATACACCAATAACAGACAAACAGAGAGCCAAATCATGAGTGAACTCCCATTCACAATTGCTTCAAAGAGAATAAAATACCTAGGAATCCAACTTACAAGGGACGTGAAGGACCTCTTCAAGGAGAACTACAAACCACTGCTCAAGGAAATAAAAGAGGATACAAACAAATGGAAGAACATTCCATGCTCATGGGTAGGAAGAATCAATATCATGAAAATGGCCCAAGGTAATTTATAGATTCAATGCCATCCGCATCAAGCTACCAAGGACTTTCTTCACAGAATTGGAAAAAACTACTTTAAAGTTCATATGGAACCAAAAAAGAGCCCGCATCGCCAAGTTAATCCTAAGCCAAAAGAACAAAGCTGGAGGCATCACGCTACCTGACTTCAAACTATACTACAAGGCTACAGTAACCAAAACAGCATGGTACTGGTACCAAAACAGAGATATAGATCAATGGAACAGAACAGAGCCCTCAGAAATAATGCCGCATATCTACAACTATCTGATCTTTGACAAACCTGAGAAAAACAAGCAATGGGGAAAGGATTCCCTATTTAATAAATGGTGCTGGGAAAACTGGCTAGCCATAGGTAGAAAGCTGAAACTGGATCCCTTCATTACACCTTATACAAAAATTAATTCAAGATGGATTAAAGACTTAAATGTTAGACCTAAAACCATAAAAACCCTAGAAGAAAACCTAGGCATTACCGTTCAGGACATAGGCATGGGCAAGGACTTCATGTCTAAAACACCAAAAGCAATGGCAACAAAAGCCAAAATTGACAAACGGGATCTCATCAAACTAAAGAGCTTCTGCACAGCAAAAGAAACTACCAACAGAGTGAACAGGCAAACTACAAAATGGGAGAAAATTTTCGCAACCTACTCATCTGACAAAGGGCTAATATCCAGAATCTACAATGAACTCAAACAAATTTACAAGAAAAAACAAACAACCCCATCAAAAAGTGGGCAAAGGACATGAACAGACACTTCTCAAAAGAAGACATTTATGCAGCCAAAAAACACACGAAAAAATGCTCACCATCACTGGCCATCAGAGAAATGCAAATCAAAACCACAATGAGATACCATCTCACACCAGTTAGAATGGCAATCATTAAAGAGTCAGGAAACAATAGGTGCTGGAGAGGATGTGGAGAAACAGGAACACTTTCACACTGTTGGTAGGACTGTAAACTAGTTCAACCATTGTGGAAGTCAGTGTGGTGATTCCTCAGGGATCTAGAACTAGAAATACCATTTGACCTAGCCATCCCATTACTGGGTGTATACCCAAAGTATTATAAATCATGCTTCTAAAAAGACACATGCACACGCATGTTTATAGCGGCACTATTCACAGTAGCAAAGACTTGGAACCAACCCAAATGTCCAACAATGATAGACTGGATTAAGAAAATGTGGCAAATATACACCATGGAATACTATGCTGCCATAAAAAATGATGAGTTCATGTACTTTGTAGGGACATGGATGAAATTGGAAATCATCATTCTCAGTAAACTATCGCAAGGACAAAAAACCAAACACCGCATGTTCTCACTCATAGGTGGGAATTGAACAATGAGAACACATGGACACAGGAAGGGGAACATCACACTCTGGGGCCTGTTGTGGGGTGGGGGGAGGGGGGAGGGATAGCATTAGGAGATATACCTAATGCTAAATGACGAGTTAATGGGTGCAGCACACCAGCATGGCACATGTATACATATGTAACTAACCTGCACATTGTGCACATGTACCCTAAAACTTAAAGTATAATAAAAAAAATACTCATTGAATGAATGTCTACATTTTAAATGCACTATTTCTTTCAAAATATCCCAAGCTCTCAACACCTACAATAAAATAAAATGACTCTCAAAAATAAAAATAAAATAAAATAAAATTATGCTTGCCATATAAAATTTTTTTTGAGGGAAGTAATTTGTTTTTTAATACAGAGCCTCGTTCTGTTGCCCAGGCTGAAGTGTCGTGTCATGATCATGGCTCCCTGCAGCCTCGACCTCCCAACCTCAAGTGATCCTCCCACCTCAGAGTAGCTGGGACCACAGATGCAAGCCACCACGCCTGGCTAACTTTTTAATTATTTGCAGAGACAGGGTCTCCTTATGTTGCCCAGGTTGAGTAATTATTTTTGAGAGTCTCAGAGAGTGTTTTTAATCAGGTTATAGAATCATAGGAACTGTATTGATTCCACACAAAGGCCTCAGGGGAGAGAAAAATCGGAAGAGAAAAATAAGATGTAAGCACAAAGACCATGTATATTTTATCTCCATAATCCCCATGATACTGGGTTTAAATGAAAAGTTGACTATGCTGTCATACCTTGATTTTAATTTGCCATAACTGATTACTGGAAAAATCGAAAATGCAATTGTCTCCCCATTTGTGGTGATATTTCTTGTCAAGACAGCAGAGGGTGCTCTTCTATTAAGATATTACACTCTAAGCGATCTATGTAAGATGTTCACTGGGCAGCAAGAAACGTGTTTTAATAAAATTACCATATTTACGATTTTATTCAATTTGTTGGTTTTCCAAGGAGGTCATTTCCTGAATGTAAGTATTATTAGTTGTATTCCTGTTTATTCAATCATCTTTGAAAACATAATGAAAGCTACAGACCTTCCAAGAAAATCTCTTCGCATACACATAGCAAATTGGTAAAGACTGTAAGGAGAAACGTAAAAAGTCAACTGAAATCTTACTAAAATATGCCAAATGATTTTGCGGAGCCAGTTGAAACAGTTTTTCTTTTGGAAAGTTTGAAACATAAAAAGTAGAGAAAAATAACATGATGAGCTCAATAATCCCTGTCACTTCTCCAATATTTTCTCTCCCCTGTCCCCCAATATACACTGGATGATTTTGAACCCAGTTCTAACCATCATATTCAATCCTGCCATAAATTGTGTGTGTATCTCAAAACGATAAGAATACTTTCAAATATCAAGTTATCACTTTCTCATAATTTTTCACGCTTAGTTCAATGAATCTAGGAAAAAAATGTACACACATTACACTTGATTATTATGTCTCTAGAGTCACTTTTACTTTATAGAACACTTCTCTTTGTTTTCCTTGCCTTAATTTTACTTCGTTGAGGCTTGCTACTCAAAAGTGTGGTTCATGGACCAGCAGTATCGACAACTACTGAGAGATTGTTACAAATATATAGAATTTCAAGCACCACCCTACATTACTAAATCAGAATCTCTATTTTTACAAGATCCTTGGGCAATTTATGTTCATGTTAAAGTTTGATAAGCATTCCTGTAGTTTCTTACAGTCTGGATTTTTGCAGATTGCAACTCTGTAAAGTCATTTTGCATTTTCCTCTCTTTATTTTCAGTTAACTGTTATCAAGCCTAGAGGATTGATACGGTTCAAGTTTAATTTCCTGGCAGAATTACATCCTAAGTTTTTGTGTACTTTTACTGGGAGGAGAACAGTGTCTAGTTTTATATCTTTTTATGATTGTTATCAGCCATTGATGACTACTGCCTTTGCCTAGTAATTTATTAAGGGTTTTCAAAATAGTGATATGCTAATTCTATCATCCTTTCTTCTTTTATTAACTTAGATAATTGTATGAAGAGAAAAATTTTTCTTACCTACAATTTTATTGTATTTGAGCTAAAATTCATACAGAAAATATAGGATACAATTTTAACTTCCATACCTTTTTTTAACCAGTTTGATTGGGTTCTCAAAGTATGTTACAAAGTTTCCTTAAAGACTTCATTTGTTTGCTTTTGAGGTGTAATTATGAACTCATGGGATTTTAAAAATACTTGATAGTTTTAATTTATCACAGTTGTTATTCTTGCCAATTCTCAGTTTGTCTCATCTTTCACTATTGGGATGCATTTCATGCTGTCTCCTGATTTCTTTACACATGACCATGACCCCAGTAATCTTTAGTAGCTTTCTGTTATCACAAAATATTCCCAGTTTATCTTGTACATTTCCTCTTCCAGTACTGGATTCAATCATTTTCCAATAACCTTTGTCTTGATTTAGTGGGAAATGGTATGGAAAGACCAGAATCATCTGTGCATTAATGTTATTCATTGCTACTGAATAATCATTGGTCATTGTGTCCAGGATGTCTTAGTGAATAGAGCTAAGAAATGCATATTTTTAACATATATATCATGAGTTTACACCAATAATTTCAAGTTCAAATTTACAAATACAAAATTTCAGGTTAACTTCCCTGATTTTATGGTTATATCCCTTTTTATTATGAAAATCTTAATTCCTAATGTAATGATAATAGCATTACTTATAGTTTTGTCTTGCTACACTGAAAACCAGTTTCAAAATAACAATACAAAATTATTACTAATGATATAACCAGTGAAAACATTTCTTAGGTTTTTGGGGGAGTGTTGGTTTGCAGTTATTTGATCTTAAGATATATTTCAGGCCAGGCCCGGTGGCTCATGCCTGTAATCCCAGCACTTTGGGAGGCTGAGGCCGGCGGATCACGAGGTCAGGAGATCGAGACCATCCTGGCTAATGAGGTGAAACCCCACCTCTACTAAAAATACAAAAAATTAGCCAGGTGGAGCTTGCAGTGAGCAGAGATCGTGCCACTGCACTCCAGCCTGGGCAACAGAGCAAGACTCCGTCTCAAAAAAAAAAAAAAAAAAAAAAGATATATTTCACTAAAGTATACAACTTGTCAAATTACCCTGCTTTAAAGTAACCTGAAAGAATTCCTGTTTACGTGTATGTGGTTAATCGAACAACTCAATACGGAGCTATATTTTTTTGTTTCATTTTGCTATTTTTAGGAAATTTTTAATATTCATTTTGATGTAATCTTATTTTGTAATTACATATATTCATTGTTTCATAGTCAAATTTACAAAACAACTGTGGGAAACTATTTTTTTTATTTCAATAGGTTTTTGGGGAACAGGTGGTGTTTGGTTACCCGAATAAGTTCGTTAGTGGTGATTTCTGAGATTTTGGTGCACACATCACCCGAGAAGTGTACACTATATTCAATGTGTAGTCTTTTATCTCTCACCCCCATCCTACCCTTCTCCCCTAGTCCCCAAAGTCCACTGTATCATTCTTATGCCTTTGGGTTCTCATAGCTTAGCTCCCATTTATGAGTGAGAACATATGATGTTTGATTTTCCGTTCCTGAGTTACTTCACTTAGAATAATGGTCTGCCATTCCATCCAGGTTCCTGCAAATGCCATTATTTTATTCTTTTTTATGGTTAAGTAGTATTCCATGGTGTGTGTGTGTATTTATATATATATGATTTATACATATAAAATATAATTATATATAATTTATGTATGATTTAGACATATAAAATATAAATATAATTATGTATAATTTATATATATATAATTTTCTTTATCCACTTGTTGATTGATGGCTATTTCAGATGGTTCCATATTTTTGCAATTACAAATAGTGCTGCTACGAACATGCATGTGCAAGTATCCTTTTTGTATAATGACTTCTTCTCCTCTGGGTAGATACCCCATAGTGAGATTGCTGGATCAAATCGTAGATTTACTTATAGTTCTTTAAGAAATCTCTCACTGTCTTCCATAGTGGTTGGACTAGTTTACATTCCAACCAACAGCGTAAAAATATTCTCTTTTTACCACATCCACTCCAACATCTATTACTATTATTTTTTTTTATCATGGCCATTCTTGCAGGAGTAAGGTAGTATCAGATGTGGTTTTGATTTGCATTTCCCTGATAATTAGTGATGCTGGGCATTTTTTTCATATGTTCATTAACCATTTGTATATCTTCTTTTGAGAACTGTCTATTCATGTCTAAGCCCACTTTTTTGAGGGGACTGTTGTTGTTTCTTGTTGATTTGTTTGAGTTTGTTGTAGATTCTGGATATTAGTGCTTTGTCAGATGTATAGATTGTGCAGATTTTCTTCCATTCTGTGTGCTGTCTGTTTATTCTGCTGATTATTTCTATTACTGTGCAGAAACTTTTTAGTTTAGTTAAGTCCCATCTATTTATTTTTGTTTTTGTTGCATTTGTTTTTGGGTTCTTGGTCACGAAGTCTTTGCCTAAGCCAATGTCTAGTAAGGTTTTTCCGATGTTATCTTCCAGAATTTTTATGGTTTCAGGTCTTAGATTTAAGTCCTTGATCCATCTTGAGTTGATTTTTGTATAAGGTGAGAGATGAGGATCCAGTTTCATTCTCCTACATGAGGCTAGCCAATTATCCCAGCACCATTTGTTGAAAAGTATCCTTTTCCCACTTTATGTTTTTGTTTGCCTTGTCAAAGATCAGTTGGCTGTAAGTATTTGGGTTTATTTCTGGGTTCACTATTCTGTTCCATTGGTCTATGTGCTTATTTTTATACCAGTGCCATGCTGTTTTGCTGACTATGACCTTATAGTATAATTTGAAGTAGGGTAATGTAGTGTCTCCAGATTTTTTCTTTGTGCTTAGTCTTGCTTTGGCTATGCTGGCTCTTTTTTGGTTCCATATGAATTTTAGGATTGTTTTTACAAGTTCTGTGAGGAATGACGGTGGTATTTTGATGAGAATTGCATTGAATTTGTAGATTGCTTTTGGCAGTATGGTCATTTTCACCATAATGATTCTACCCATCCATGAGCATGGGATGTGTTTCCATTTGTTTGTGTCATCTATGATTTCTTTCAGCAGTGTTTTGTAGTTTTGTAGAGGTCTTTGACCTCCTTGGTTAAGTATATTCCTAAATATTTTTTTTCAGCTCCTGTAAAAGGGGTAGAGTCCTTGATTTTATTCTCATCTTGGTCAACTATTCCTTCAAATATGTTTTCCAAACTTTTAGATTTCTCTTTTTCTTTGGGAACACCAATTACTGTTTAAGTTTGATCATTTAACGTAATCCCAAACTTCTTGGATGCTTTTTTCATTTTTTTAAATTCTTTTCTCTTTGTCTTTGTCAGATTGGGTTAAGTTCTTCCTTCTATTTGTTCAATTCTATTGCAGAGTCTTTCCAGTGCATTTTGTGATTCTCTAAGTGTGTCCTTCATTTCCAGAAGTTGTGAATAGAAGTAAATGCTATTTACTTCACTGGAGATTTTTCCTTTTATATCCTTTATCTTTTTTTTTTTTTTCTTTAATTTGGACTTTACCTTTCTCTGGTGCCTCCTCAAATGGCTCAATAGTCGACCTTCTGAATTCTTTTTCTGGCAATTCAGAGATTTCATCTTGGTTTGGATCTATTGCTGGTGAGCTAGTGTGATTTTTTAGGGGTTTTAAACAATCTTGTTTTGTCATGTTACCAGAATTGTTTTTCTGGTTCCTTCTCATTTGGGTAGACTATGTCAGAGGGAAGATCTGGAACTCAAGGGCTGCTGTTCAGTTTTTTATGTCCCGTGGGGGGCTCCCTTGATGCAGTGCTCTCCCCTTCCCATAAAGATGGGACTTCCTGACGGCTGAACTGCAGTGGTTGTCATTTCTCTTCTGGAACTAGCCACCCAGCGGAGCTACCCGGCTCTGGGCTGGTACTGGTGAGTGTCTGCAAAGAGTCTTGTGATGTGAACCATCTTCAGTTCTCTCAACTGTGGATACCAGCACCTACTCCGGTGGTAGTAGGGGAGTGAAGTGGACTCTGCGAGAGTTCTCAGTTTTATATTTGTTAAGTGCACCGGTTTAGTGTTGGTTAGCCTCCAGTCAGAAGGCGGTGCTTTCAAGAGTGCATCAGTTGCAGTAGTAGAGGGAAGATCAGGTGGTGGGGGGTGGGGGTGGGGGTAAGGGGTTGCAGGGGATAGTGCTTCCAAGAAATTATGTCTTTTGTCTTTGGCTACCAGAGTGGGTAGAGAAAGACCATCAAATGGGGGCAGGCTTAGGCGTGTCTGAGCTCAGACTCTCCTTGGGCAGGGCTTGCTGCAGCTTCTGTGGAGGATGGGAGTGTAGTTCCCAGGCCAATGGAGTTATGTTCCCAGGGGCATTATGGCTACCTCTGGTACCTCACACACAGGTTGCCAGGGAAGTGGGAGAAAGCTGGTAGCCATAGGCCTTACCCAGCTCCCATGTAGCCCACAGCCTGAAAGATGGGTCTCACTCCCACTGTGCCCCCTAACGGCACTGAATTTATTTCCAGGCAGCCGGTGCAGAGCTGAGAATTTACCCCAGGCTACCAGCCTTCCGGCTGAGAGAGCAAGCTGACGCACGGTTCCTCAGCTGTCCCATGGAGCCTGTTGCGGCCATCCACCTCCTTCAAAGGGTATGTGGATTCTCTCAGCTTTCCTGGTATGTTCCTGTGGTAGTTCTTGGAACAAAAATTCTCGATGTGATCTCCACGCTGCTCTGTTGGTCTGAGTGGGAGCTGCAAATTTGTCCTGTCTCCTATTCTGCCATTTTCCCTGACACTCTGGGAATCTATTTTTTAAAATTATACCTAAGTTGATTTCACAACACAGAACAATAGTTTAATCAAGTCAAAACTATATACATGTTATAAGATGTACAGCCAAAATAGAAAACCTCACCTTTTTTCTTACTCCCTAAAATGAGATACAGGACAGCTAAATTTATTTTCTGTAATATACTTTATTGATTTTAGGAAATGCTTGTTTGTGTAATTTATACATGGTCCTTTGCTAAGTTGTATACAAACTATTGCACTTATTGAGAACAATCCTACCACATTGTCAAGCATGTAGTTCATGAAGGGAAGAGAGATAAATGTATATATTTTATTTGGGGCAAATGATTTTATCTTGCCTTTTTATGCTTAAATAAATTTTTACTTAAATATTTTATTATTATTATTATTATTATTGAGGCTGGGTCTCATTTGTCATCCAGGCTGGAGTGCAGTGGCATGATCACAGCTCACTGCAGCCTTCACCTCTCAGGCTCCAGCAATCCTCTCGCCTCAGCTTCCCAAGTAGCTGGGACGGACCACAGACATGTGCCACCATGCCCAGCTAACTTTGTTTATTTTATTTTATTTTACTTTTTGTAGAGATGAAATATCACTATGTTGCCCAGGCTGGCCTCAAAATCCTAGGCTCAAGTGATCCATCTGCCTCAGCCTCCCAAAGTACTGGGATTACAGGTTTGAGCCATCACATCTAGCCTATTTTTTTAATTATTATTTTTAAAGTTGTTATTCTTTCATTTTTCCTGTTATGTATTGATATGGTTTGGATCTGTGTTCCCACCCCCAGATCTCGTATCCAATTGTAATCCCCAATGTTGGAAGTGGGGCCTAATGGAAGGTAATTTGATCATGGGGGTGGCTTCTCATGGTTTCTCAACACCATCCCCCTTGGTACTGTCATTGTAATAGAGAGAGAGTTCTCACAAGATCTGGTTGTTTAAAAGCGTGTAGAACCTCCCTGTTCCCTCTGTTCCTCCTGATCCTGCCATGTAAGATGCTGGCTCCCCCTTTGCCTTCCACCATGAGCAAAAACTTCTCAAGGCATCCCCACAGGCATCCCCAGAAGCAGACTTCCTGTACAGCCTGTGTAGAACCAAGGGCTACTTAAACCTCTTTTCTTTATAAATTACCCAGTCTCATATATTTCTTTATAGCAGTGTGAGAATGAACTAATACACGTTATATGTAGAAATGTTTGCTCTTATTTTATTTTATTATTTTTTTATTGTGGTAAGAACACTTAACATGAGACCTACCGTCTGAACAGATTTTTAAGTGCACAATACAGTATTATTAACTATTGGCACATTACTGTACAACATATCGCTAGAATTTATCTTGCAAACTAAAACCTTATACCTGTTAAACAGCAATTCCTCATTTCCCTCCTTCCCCTACCCTCTGGCAACCACCATTCTACTCTCTATTTCTATGTGTCTAATTATTTTAGATACTTCATATAAGTGGAATTACTCTGCATTTGTGTGACTGGCTTGTTTCACTTAGCATAACGTCTTCCAGGTTCATCCATATTGTCGCATATGGCAGTACTTCCTTCTTTTTGTAAGTCTGAATAATATTCCATCATATGTACATATCACATTTTCTTTCACCATTCATCTCTCAATGAACATTTAGGTTGTTTCCGGAACTTGGCTATTGTGAATAGTGTTGCATGGGAGTACATATATATCTTCCAGATCTGGATTTCAATTCTATTGAATATATACCTAAAGATGGGATGGGCAAATCATATGGTAGTTCTATTTTTACTTTTTTGAGGAAACTCTATACTATTTTTTATTGCAGTTGCATGATTTTACATTCCTACCAACAGTGTATGTGTTCCAATTTTTCCACATCCTTGCTAACACTTGTTTTAAATATATATTTAAATTAATATATGTGTATTTTTTATGTTAGCTATCCTAATAGATGTGAAGTGATATCTCCTTGCAGTTTTAATTTGCATTTCTCTGATAATTAGTGATATTGATAATATTTATATATACCTGTTGCCATTTGTATCTCTTCTTTGAACAAATGTAAATTCAAGCCCTTTTCCCAGTTTTTAATTGTTTTTGTTTGTTTCATTTGGTTTTGCTATTGAGTTGCAATGATTTCATGGATATAACATAAAAACACAAGTAGCAAAAGTGAAAATAGGTAAGTGGGACTATACCAAACTAAAATATTTCTGCACAGCCAAGGAAATAATCAACAGAGCAGAAACCAACTTATGGAGTGGGAAAAAATATTTGCAAAACATTATCTCATAAGGAGTTAGTACTCTAAATACACAAAGAGTTCCTACAACTCAATTGCAAAACAACACCAAATAATACAATTTTAAAACAGGCGAAGAACATGCATATACTGGAGAGATGATTATTTCCCATACTAGAAATATGAATACTATTCATACTTGAATAGCATTTATGAAATAGCATTCATACTTTTAGTAATTGGATTTTTCTCCATTAAAATGAGAAAACGTATAAGATGATCTTTCAGGTTCCTTTCAGCATTGAAATCCTCTTCTGTTTCACATGTGATAGGTAATTTCCAAAAATGGCCACCATCAGTTCCTTCCCTCTCTGCACATGCATGCTGCTCCTCACACTGAGATGGAGTGTATGCTCCTCTGCCTGAATCTGGGCTAGCTTGACTTGCTTGGCCAGCAGAATACGGCAAAAGTAATTCCCAGAATTCTTAAGTCTAGGTCATGAAAAGCCTCACCACTTTCATCTATATTTCTTGGAACACTAGATCTGGAGGAAGCCAGACTCCATATAAAAAGCCCAGTTACCCTGAGGAAGCCCAAGCAGGCTACATGGAGCAAACACATGGGAAAAAAAAGGACCCAGCCAGACCTAATCTGTTCCTGCTCTCTCAGCCAAAGTACCCCAGATTTTAGTGAAAAAGTCTTCCTATCAATTCAATCAAGACTTCAGGTGACTCTATAACCAGCTACTATTTGATTGCAAACACATGAAAGAATTGTTCACCTGATTCTGATCAACCACAGAAACAGAAGAAATAATAATAAATTGGTGCTTTAAGCACTAACATTTCGGGTGAAATCTGTACAACAGTACACAGCCAAAATAGTACGTAATAATTGCAATCAGAAAAGTAACCTAAACACACAGAAGGAGGCAAGACTAATTTTGACTGCAGAGAATGGTGACATTTTATTGGCAAAGTTTTTGACTTAGGTCTTAAAGGATAAGAAAACACATGGAAGAAAAATATGGGGCCAGGAATATATACAGAATATCTGAGGAGAGCTTATTATCAAGAGTATTTTAGTTTATAATTTAAATATGAAGTGATAAATATTTCCTATAGTTTCATTTAAAAGAAGGTATCATTAAAATAAAAAATAAAACTCAATAAAAGGAAATATAGTCTAATTAGATATGCATATCCTTATGGTGGATGTGACATTAACGAAGAATGGCATTTGGAGTACTGACTGGAGAGGATTCTCTACATAACTTTCAAATAGTTTATTCATTCATAGTTTCCTCTAGCTCCTCCCCTTTATGTGAGTCAGAAACAGAAACTCTTTTTTACAAATTTTAATTTGGCTGGGTGCGGTGGCTCATACCTGTAATCCCAGCACTTTGGGAGGCCTAGGCGCGTGGATCATCTGAGGTTGGGAGTTTGAGACCAGCCTGACCAACATGGAAAAACCCCATCTCTATGAAAAATACAAAATTAGCCGGGTGTGGTGGCACATGCCTGTAATCCCAGCTACTGGGGAGGCTGAAGCAGTAGATTCGCTTGAACCTGGGAGGCGGAGGTTGCGGTGAGCTGAGATTCAGTGATTGCACTCTAGCCTGGGCAACAAGAGCGAAACTCCATTTCCAAAAAAAAAAAAAAATTAAGTTCTGGGATACATGTGCAGGATTTGCAGGTTTGTTACATAGGTAAATGTGTGCCATGGTGGTTTGCTGCATTTATCAACACGTCACCCAGGTATTAAGCCCAGCATGCATTAGCTATTTTTCCTGATGCTCTCTGTCTTCCCACCTCACCCTCCCGGTAGGCCCCAGTGTCCATGTGTTCTCATTGTTCAGCTCCCACTTATAAGTGAGAACATGTGGTGTTTGGTTTTCTGTTCCTTTGTTACTTTGGTGAGGATAATGGCTTCCAGCTCCATCCATGCCCCTGGAAAGGACATAATCTTGCTCCTTTTTATGACTGCATAGTATTCCATGGTGTATATGTACCACATTTTCTTTATCCAGTCTATCATTGATGGACATTTGGGTTGATTCCATGTCTTTGCTATTGTGAATAGTGCTGCAATGAACATACACTTGCATCTTTATAATAGAATGATTTATATTTCTTTGAGTATATACCCAGTAATGGGATTGCTGGGTCAAAGGGTATTTCTGGTTCTAGATCTTTGAGGAATTGCCACACTGTCTTCCATAATGGTTGAACTAATTTACATTCCCACCCACAGTGTAAAAGTGTTCCTATTTCTCCACAGCCTCACCAGCATCTGTTGCTTTTTGACTTATTAATAATCACTATTCTGACTGACGTGAGATGGTATCTCATGTATCTCATTGTGGTTTTGATTTGCATTTCTCTAATGATCAGTGACGTCAAGCTTTTTTTCATATGTTTGTTGGCCACATAAATGTCTTCTTTTGACAAGTGTCTGTTCATGTCCTTTGTCCCCTTTTTAATGGGGTAATTTTTTTATTTGTAAATTTGTTTAAGTTCCTTGTAAATTCTGGATATTAGGCCTTTGTGAAATGTATAGATTGCAATAAATTTTATCCCATTCAGTAGGTTGTATGTTCACTCTGATGATGGTTTCTTTTGCTGTGCAGAATCTCTTTAGTTTAAATAATCCCA